>NC_000009.12:36525151-36676666 GCF_000001405.40 Homo sapiens
TGAGCTCGTGATCCGCCTGCCTCGACCTCCCAAAGTGCTGGGATTACAGGCATAAGCCACTGCGCCCGGCCCATCTTTTTCTTTTTTATAGAGTCTGGTTCCCTTTGCCCAGGCTGGAATTCAGTGGTGAAATCATGGCTTATTGCAGCCTCGACCTCCCAGGCTCATCCTCCCGAGTAGCTGGGACCACAGATGCACACCATCATTCTCAGCTAATTAAAAAAAAATTATTTGTAGATATATGGTCTCCTTATGTTGCCCAGCCTGGTCTTAAGCTCCTGGGTTCAAGTGATCCTCCCACTTCAGTCTCCTGAGTAGCTTCCCAACTACTCAGGCATATGCCACCAAGCCCAGGTAGTGTTTTTGTTTTTGTTTTTTTTTGGTAGAGACAGGGTTACCCTATGTTGCCCAGGCTGGTCTTGAACTCCTGGGCTCCAGAGATCCTCCTAGATCAGCCTCCCAAAGTGCTAGAACTACAGGCATGAGCCACCGTGCCCAGCATAAAACCAAATATTAATAACGTCATTTGGCCTCAAACATAAGCCATGTTCTCCAACCTAGACTTTATTAATAATGAAAATGACATTTTAATCTTAATCAGCCAGCATCTTTGACTACAACTAAAATAGTTTTGAATTGAAAAGGAAAAGGGGGGCGGAGGTTGTTGATCTCCTAATAGTGGTGACCTTTTGTTTGATTTTTGAAGACTGAGTAGAATAAGGTCACCAAGCAAAGATGTGAGAGAGGACTTTGCAGGAAAGGATAATGAGTACAGAGAAAATTTCGTGATCAAAGTTATGGAAACATTAAAGAGTCTGGTGCACCAGGGAAGTGCCTGGCTGTTGTATTCAGGGTATGTATTGAAATGTGGTAGGAAAAGAGCCTGTTGGGCCATAGGCATGGATCCAGATCAGTGCTAGCTATATTTGTCTTCAAAACAGAGGTTGTTTTTATCATGTTCTCCACTGGTTTCCTAGCGCTTGGAACAGTGTCTGGCTAAGGGAAAGGAATGAAAGACATTTTACACTATGTTTAATAAATTTGCATGTTCCCCTGTAAGTGATAGGGGATTTGGTTCTTCAGCCATTCCCTTTCTTCTGTGAGTTAGCTCATATCATTTTTTCTTAAGTTAAACATGACCGCTTTCTGTTGCTTGCAACCAAAGAACCCTACCTGATTCAGTTGGCACAGTTCATCCCCTTACAGGAGATACATCCCCTGTTAAGGGAGTATCTCTTTTTTTTTGAGACGGAGTTTCACTCTTGTTGCCCAGGCTGGAGTGCAATGGCATGATCTCGGCTCACTGCAACCTCCGCCTCTTAGGTTCAAGCGATTCTCCTGCCTCAGCCTCCCTAGTAGCTGGGATTACAGGCAACCGCCACCATGCCCAGCTAATTTTTTATATTTTTTTTAGTAGAGACGGGGTTTCACTATGTTGGCCAGGCTGGTCTTGAACTCCTGACCGCAGGTGATCCACCCTCCTTGGCCTCCCAAAGTGCTAGGATTACAGGCGTGAGCCACCGTGCCTGGCCAGGAGTATCTCTTACATGAAGAATATCAAGGACATTCAAAGTGCTTTTAGTAGTGGGCCACAAATTCAGAAATCCCTGGGTGTGCAGCCACTGGCATTTAAACTAATGGCAAGTCAAGAGGGTTAGTATGCGTAGTAGATGGAAGTCAAGTGTATGTATTTAAGTCAAGTGTATGCAACATATGAATGAGCAGAAACATTAAACGTAACCTTTAGGAAAAGACAACAGGCAAGTGCAAACAAAAAGAAAGCGGACTATGCATTATTCATATCACAAAATAAATTCAAGGAAAGCAAAATCTATTTAGATATTTACTAAAAGGAGAGCACTACGTAACAGAGCTTATGGGAACGGGCCAAATCTCCACTTACAAGAAGATTAACAACCTTAAATTTCTTTATTGTAGAACTAAGAATGAAAATACCTGAACTGAGCAGTCAGTTCAAGAAAAATGACAAAAAGAAGAGAGCAGACTGAATGAGAATTTGGCCACAGTCCATTTCATAGGTGTGGGACAGGGAAAGGAAAAAGGGCCTCTCAAATGCACAAATAACATGATCAGAGAGGTGCAAGTACAACCAAGGGAGCTCAGTTTCACAGAACCAAGGGGAACAGAGTTTTTTGGTGTTTTTGTTTCAGACAGTGTCTTGCTATGTTGCCCACACTGGTCTTGAACTCTTGGCCTCAAGCGATCCTCCTACCTCAGCCTCCCAAAGTGATGGTGCTGGGATTACAGGTGTGAGCCACCATGCCAGGCCATGGGAAATGGAGGTTTTTTTGTTTTTGTTTTTGTTTTTTTTGAAACAGAGTTTCACTCTTGTTGTCCAGGCTGGAGTGCAATGGCGCAATCTCAGCTCACCGCAACCTCCGCCTCCCGGGTTCAAGTGATTCTCCTGCCTCAGCCTCCCGAGTAGCTGGGATTACAGGCATGTGCCACCATGCCCAGCTAATTTTGTATTTTTAGCAGAGACAGGGTTTCTCCATGTTGGCCAGGCTGGTCTCGAACTCCCAACCTCAGGTGATCTGCCCGCCTCGGCCTCCCAAAGTGCTGGGATTACAGGCGTGAGCCACCGAGCCCGGCCTGTTTTTGTTTTTGAGACAGGGTCTCACTCGTACCCAGGCTGGAGTGCAGTGGCATGATCTCAGCTCACTGCAACCTCCGGCTCCTGGGCTCAGGGATCCTCCTACCTCAACCCCCCAAGTAGCTGGGACTACAGGTGCAAGCCACCACACCTGGCTAATGTTTGTATTTTTGGTTGAGACAGGGTTTTGTCATGTTGCCCAGGCTGGTCTTGAACTTCTGAGCTCAAGCAATCTACCCACCTCGTCCTCCCAAATTGCTAGGATTATAGGCGTGAGCCACCCATCCAGGCCAGGAAATGGAGTTTTAATGAATAAGTGAGGAGCTGCAGAAGGGAGGGAGTAATCAACAGGGTCAAACAAAAAATGAGATCCGATAAGAAAATGTCTTAAATTTCTACAGAGCTTGGCAATTACCAGTAAGAGATCAGCAGGATTTATTCTGAGCTTTCCATAGAAAGAAAATACTTTGGCAGAATTAAAGGGAAGGACACTAGAATTGTGGTCATTTCTCATGTTTGCCATCCAAAGTCTCCTTAGACCTCTTACGCTACGTGTACTCCAATTTTTCCGGGGAAGAGACATCCTTTTTTTTTTTTTTTTTTTGAGACAGTCTTGCTCTGTCGCCAAGGCTGGAGTGCAGTGGTACAATCTCGGCTTATCACAACATCTGCCTCCCAAGTTCAAGTGATTCTCCTGCCTCAGCCTCTCAGATAGCTGGGACTACAGGCACACACCACCATGCCCAGCTATTTTTGTGTGTGTGTGTGTGTGTATTTTTAATAGAGACAGGGTTTCAACACATTGGCCAGGCTGGTCTCGAACTCCTGAACTCTAGTGATCCGCCTGCCTCCCAAGTACCAGCTGATGCATTTCTATGTCCAGGGTGTGATATGGCAGACTGTGGGTTGAATAACCCCATTCTCATTCCCAACCCTGTTTTCCCTTGCCTGCCTCACTTGTACTCACTTTCCCAACAACCTTATAGCAAGCAGTGGCCAGATGGTATGTATCCCAAAACAGACATGATATCCAGGTAGATATAAATGACTAGAACTGGGCCGGGCACAGTGGCTCACACCTGTAATCCCAGCACTTTGGGAGGCCGAGGCAGGCAGATCTCTTGAGGTCAGGAGTTTCAGATCAGCCTGGCCAACATGGTGAAATCCTGTCTCTACTAAAAATACAAAAATTAGGCCTGGCACAGTGGCTCATGCCTATAATCCCAGCACTTTGGGTGGTTGAGACAGGCGGATCACCTGAGGTCAGGAGTTTGAGACCAGCCTGGCCAACATGGTGAAACCCTGTCTCTACTAAAAATACAAAAATTAGCCGGGCGTGGCAGCATGCGCCTGTAATCCCAGCTACTTGGGAAGCTGAGACAGGAGAATCACTTGAACCTGGGAGGCAGGGGTTGCAGTGAGCCGAGATCGCGCCATTGCAGTCCAGCCTGGGCAACAGAGCAAGACTCCATCTCAAAAAAAAAAATAAAAAAAAAAATAAAATAATACAAAAATCAGACGGATGTGGAAGCAGGCGCCTGTAATCTCAGCTACTTGGGAGGCTGATGCAGAATCGCTTGAACCCAGAAAGTGGAGGTTACAGTGAACCGAGATTATGCCACTGCACTCCAGCCTGGGCGAAAGGAGACTCCATCTAAAAAAAAATACAAAAATTAGCCAAGCTTTGTGGCATGCACCTGTAATCACAGCTACTGGGGAGGCTGAGGCAGGAGAATCACTTGAACCCGGGAGCAGGAGATTGCAGTGAGCCAAGAGGTGCCACTGCACTCCAGCCTGGGTGACAGAGTGAGACTCCATCTCAAAAAAATAATAGAAATAAAAATAAAAGACATGGCCAGATGGGGTGGCTCACGCCTGTAATCCCAGCACTTTGGGAGGCCGAGGTGGGTGGATCATGAGGTCAAGAGATCAAGACCATCCTGGCCAACATGTTGAAACCCCGTCTCTACTAAAAATACAAAAATTAGCTGGGCATGGTGGCGCGCCCCAGTAATCCCAGCTACTTGGGAGGCTGAGGCAGGAGAATCGCCTCTGGGAGGCGGAGGATGCAGTGAGCAGAGATCGTGCCACTGCACTCCAGTCTGGGTGACAGAGCGAGACTCTGTCTCAAAAAACAAACAAGCAAACAAACAAACAAAAGATACATAACTGGAATTGGGACACCCATCTTGTGAGAAACAGTAAAAAATCAAGAGAATCCCAGCTCTACCAACCCCAAGTCCTTGAGCCACTGGGTCGACATGTTACTATATGACTTCAGACTTTTGTGTGTGTGTGTTTTTGACACAGAGTCTCATTTTCTTGCCCAGACTGGGGTGCAGTGGTGCAGTCAATCTCGGCTCACTGCAACCTCTGCCTTCCAGGTTCAAGTGATTCTCCTGCCTCAGCCTCCCAAGTAGCAGGGATTACAGGCGTGCACCACTATGCCTGGCTAATTTTTGTATTTTTAGTAGAGACAGGGTTTTCACCATGTTGGCCAGGCTGGTCTCAAATTCCTGACCTTAAATGATCCACCCGCCTTGGCCTCCCAAAGTGCTGGGAATACAGGTGTGAGCTACAGCGCCTGGCCTGACTTCAGACTTTTTATGATGTGAGAAAAATACACCCCTGATGTCAACTCCTGATGTAAAGTCTGTCCTTGTACTTGAATTAATGTCTGTTACAGAAGACTTGTGACTTATAATGATGCTGATTTTGTCCCTAGGGCCACAGGTGGCTATGTTGACTTAAGCCTTAGCCAATTCACATAGAACATTTCCTTGATGACAGTGAATTGTTCAGGGACAGGCATAAGAGCCAAGTCAGGACAATTGGGGCCAAAGAAACTCACTTTCCAGGATATTTTTATAAACTGTCAGAGAAGCAGACTTTTCTTTTCCTGCAGTAATTGATTAAGAGAAGATATGTGGATTGAGCCGCAGCAGCATCTTGAGGGGGAGAATCTGCCTGAGGCTCGAGCCAGCACAGGAAAAACTGAACCCAGAGATGAAAAAGAGAAAGTGGGTTCTGGTGACATAGCTCTAGACTCAGTCAAGCCTTATTTGGAGTCAGCCCAACCCCTGGAGTTTTCACATACGTGAGCCAATAAATTGCCCCTTTTGAAAGCCATTTAGGTTTGGGTTTTCTCTTACATGAAAGCAAAGAATCTTCAGGAGATTGTATTTTTCCAAAGATGGTTCCATCAGTATATTTATCCCATTCCACATGCTCTTCTTGCAATAACTGGTACTCTTCCCACTATTGGGTGGGGTTTGTTTTCCCACCCCTGGGTGGGGCTTGTGGTTGCCGTAACCAAGGAGTATGGCACCATGATGCTATTGACTTACAAGGTACAGATTGTCTCTTTCTCTCTCTCTCAGTGCTTACCTTTGTAACCTGGCCTCTATATTTTAAGGAAACCTAAGCCACTTGGAGAGGTCACATGTAGGTGTTCTAGCCAACAATCTTAGGTCTCAGGACAGCCAGAATCTATCACCAGATGTGAGTGAATGAGCCTTCAGGTGATTCTAGCCCCCAGCATTCAAATATTCCAAATGAGACCCTGGCCATCCTGGAGCAGAGACATGCCATTCTGGCTGTGTTCAATCCAACCTCCGCCTCCTGGGTTCAAGCAATTCTCCTGCCTCAGCCTCCTGAGTAGCTGGGATTACAGGTATGTGCCACCATGCCTAGCTAAATTTTTTGTATTTTTAGTAGAGATGGGGTCTCGCTATGTTAGCCAGGCTGGTCTGAGAGCACGTGCCCAGATTATCATTGTTTTAATGCAACTAAATTTTGGGGTAGTTTATTATGTAGCAATAGATATACTAACACGGAGTCCTAATTGATAGAATTGGTATTCTGCGTGAGAGTGGTTTAAGAAGAATAGTAGAGGCTGGGCATCACAACTCATGCCTGTAATCCCAGCACTGTGGGAGGCTGAGGCAGGCGGATCACCTGAGGTCAGGACTTCGAGACCAGCCCGGCCAATGTGGTGAAACCCATCTCTACTAAAAATACAAAAAATTAGCCTGGTGTGGTGGCATGCACCTGTAATCCCAGCCACTCGGGAGGCTGAGGCAGCAGAATGGCTTCAACCCGGGAGGCGGACACTGCAGTGAGTGAAGATCATGCCACTGCACTCTCTAGCCTGGGTGACAGAGCGAGATGCCATCTAAAAAATAAAAAAAAGAAAAAAAAAAGAAGACGAAGACAAAGAAGAAGAATAGTGGAATGGGAAATAAGATTGCAGCGTATAAGAAGCGAGCAGGAGGTGAGAAAAATGGAATTAGAAAGGTAGATACTCTGGACTCTGAACAAGTTCCATGAAGGCCTCTCCCTGGTCTTAGAAAAGGATACAATAAGTCTTAAACCAAAGCTGACAGTCACTATTCAGGCTTCTGGGGATCATCAGAGGACTAAAGGTTATGAGTTTGATATAATTCTGGAGGAGGGTCTTTACTAACTGGCTTTGTGAATTTCTCAGAATTCCAAAAGGCATTAAGAAGGAATCAAAGGTGAATCAATAAAACCCTCAGGAAAGCATTTATTTCAGAAGCATTCTCTGCTCAAAAACTCCAGCAGACTTCATTGCCTCTGATACAGATAAAGCCCTTCAGCCTGGCATTCGAGGGTCTCCTTGCCACATCTGTTTCCCAATGCTCCCCTTTACATCCCCCAGGGTCCAGCAAAACTGTGATGCTTGCTGACTGCACTACGTGATATTCTCCCAACTCTCCTTCCCTGTGCCACCTCTAGGTGTTTGCCCTCGTGGGGAAGAAACTCTGGAGCACCAGCTGTGGTCAGAGTGCTCCTCAGTGCCTGTGCCCATTCTCATCTCAGCCAAAGTACAGAGACCTTCTGTAGTGAAGGATCAATGATGATCAATGATGAGTTGTAGGGCCCACAGCCTTTTTCTTTTATGATTTTTAAATTCAAGTTTTTTTTTTTTCTTTTTGAGACAGAGTCTCACTCTGTTACCTAGGCTGGAGTGCAATGGCGGAATCTTGGCTCACTGCAATCTCCACTTCCCGGGTTCAAGCGATTCTCCTGCCTCAGCCTCCTGAGTAGCTGGGACTACAGGCTTGTGCCCCCATGCTCGGCTAATTTTTGTATTTTTAGTAGAGATGGGTTTTTACCATGTTGGCCAGGCTGGTCTTGAACTTCTGACCTCAAGTGATCTGCTCACCTCAGCCTCTCAAAGTACTGGGATTACAGATGTGAGCTGCTGTGCCCAGACAGTAAATTGAAGTATAATTTATATACAGTAAAATGCATAGATCTCAAGTATACTGTCCTGTGAGTTTTAACAGTTGTATTCACTTGGGATGATATGGTTTGGCTGTGTGCCCACCCAAATCTCATCTTGAATTCCCACAGGTTGTGGGAGAGACCTAGTGGGAGGTAATTGTATCATGGGAACAAGTCTTTTTTTTTTTTTTCCCAAGACGGAGTCTTGCTCTGTCTCCCAGGCTGGAGTGCAGTGGTGCGATCTCGGCTCGCTGCAACCTCTGCCTCCCAGGTTCAAGGCATCCTCCTGCCTCAGCCTCCAAAGTAGCTGGGACTACAGGCGCATGCCACCATGCCCAGCTAATTTTTGTATTTTTAATAGAGATGGAGTTTCACCATGTTGGCCAGGATGGTCTCGATCTCTTGACCTCGTGATCTGCCTACCTCGGCCTCCCAAAGTGCTGGGATTACAGGCATGAGCCACCGCACCTGGCCCCTGGGGGGGCAAGTCTTTCCTGAGCTGTTCTTGTGATACTGAATAAGTCTCACAAGATCTGACGGTTTTTTTTTTTTTTAGATGGAGTCTTGTTCTGTCGCCAGGCTGGAGTGCGGTGGCACAATCTCGGCTCACTGCAAGCCCCACCTCCCGGGTTCATGCCATTCTCCTGCCTCAGCCCCTCAGCCTCCCGAGGAACTGGGACTACAGGTGCCTGCCGCCACGCCTGGCTAATTTTTTTTGTATTTTTAGTAGAGATGGGGTTCCACTGTGTTAGCCAGGATGGTCTCGATCTCCTGACCTCATGATCCGCCTGCCTCAGCCTCCCAAAATGCTGTGATTACAGGCGTGAGCCACTGTGCCCAGCCGATCTGATGGTTTTAAAAGAGGAATTCCCCTGCACAAGCTCTCTTTCTTTGCCTGCTGCCATCCATGTAAGATGTGACTTGCTCTTCCTTGCCTTCCACCGTGATCATGAGGTTTCCCCACCCATGCAGAACTGTAACTCCAATTAACCTCTTTCTTTTGTAAATTGCCCAGTCTCTGGTATGCCTTTATCAGCAGTATGAAAATAGACTAGTACAGTAAATTGGTACCAGTAGAGTGGGGCGTTTCTGAAAAGATACTTGAAAATGTGGAAGTGACTTTGGAACTGGGTAGCAGGCAGAGGTTGGAACACTTTGGAGGGCTGAGAAGAAAACTGAAAAATGTGGGAAAGTTTGGAACTCCCTAGAGACTTGTTGTACAGCTTTGACAAAAATGCTAATAGTGATATGAACAATAAGGTCCAGGCTGAGGTGGTGTCAGATAGAGATGAGGAACTTATTGGGAACTGGAGCAAAGGTGACTCTTGTTATGTTTTAGCAAAGAGACGGGCAGCATTTTGCCCCTGCCCTAGAGATTTGTGGAACTTTGAACTTGAGAGAGATGATTTAGGGTGTCTGGTGGAAGAAATTTCTAAGCAGCAAAGCATTCAAGAGGTGATTTGGGGGCTGCTAGTATATTCAGTTTTTTTTCTTTTCTTTTCTTTTTTTTTTTTTTCTGGAGACAAAATCTCACTCTGTCGCCCAGGCTGGAGTGCAATGATGTGACTTCAGCTCACTGAAACTTCTGCCTCTCGGATTCAAGCAATTCTCCTGTCTCAGCCTCCTGAGTAGCTGGGACTACAGGGGTGTGCCACCACACCTGGCAATTTTTGTTTTTTTAGTAGAGACAGGGTTTCACCATATTGGTCAGGCTGGTCTGAAACTCCTAACCTCAGGTAACCCACCCACCTTGGCCTCCCTGAGTGCTGCGATTACACGTGTGAGCCACTGCACCCAGCCCAAAAGCATTCAGTGTTTTTTTTTTTTTTTTTGAAATGGAGTCTTGCTCTGTTGCCAGGCTGGAGTGCCATGGTGTGATCTCAGCTCACTACAACCTCCACCTCCTGGGTTGAAGCGATTCTCCTGCCTCAACCTACCAAGTAGCTGGGATTACAGGCGCCCACCACCACATCCAGCTGATTTTTATTTTTAGTAGAGATGGGGTTTCACTATGGTGGCCAGGCTGGCCTCAAACTCCTGACTTCAGGTGATCCAACCCCCTCGGTCCCCCAAAGTGTTGGGATTACAGGCGTGAGCCACTGCACCCAGCCTGCACTGAGTTTTATAAGGGAAGCAGAGCATTAAAATTCATAAAATTTGCAGTCTGACAATCCAATAGTAAAGAAAATACCATTTTCTGAGGAGAAATTCAAGCTAGCTGCAGAAATTTGCATAAGTAACAAGGAGCAGAATGTTAATCTCCAGGACAATGGGGAAAACATCTCCAGGGCATGACAGAGGTCTTCAGGGAAGCCCCACCCATCACAGGCCCAAGAGCCTAGGAGGAAAAAGGCTTCAGAGGGTGGACACCCCAAGGCTTGGCAGCTTCCATGTGGTGTCAAGTCTGCGGGTACACAGAAGTCAAGAATTGAGGTTTGGGAACCTCCACCTAGATTTCAGAAGATGTATGGAAACACCTGGATGTCTAGGCAGAAATTTGCTGCACGGACGGGCCCTCATGGAGAACCTCTGCTAGGGCAGCGAGGAAGGGAAATGTGGGGTCAGAGCCCCCACACAGAGTCCCTACTGGAGCATTGCCTAGTGGAGCTTTGAGAAGAGGGCCACCATCCTCTAGACCCCAGAATGGTAGATCCACAAACAGCTTGCACTGTGCACCTGGAAAAGCCACAGACACTCAAAGCCAGTTGGTGAAAGCAGCCGGAAGGGAAGCTATACCCTGCAAAGCCACAGAAGCAGAGCTTCCCAAGACCATAGGAACCCACCTCTTGCATCAACATGACCTGGATGTAAGACATGGAGTCAAAGGAGATCAATTTGGAGCTTTAAGATTTGACTGCCCTGCTGGATTTCTGACTTGCATGGGGCCTGTAGCCCCTTTGTTTTGGCCAATTTCTCCCATTTGGAATGGCTGTATTTACCCAATGCCTGTACCCCCATTGTATCTAGGAAGTAACTAACCTGCTTTTTAATTTTACAGGCTCATAGGTGGAAGGGACTTGCCTCAGACGAGGCAGGAAGGTCCACCTCAGACGAGACTTTGGACCATGAACTTTTAAGTTAATGCTGAAATGAGTTAAGACTTTGGCGGACTGTTGAGAAGGCATGATGGGTTTTGAAATGTGAAGACATGAGATTTGGGAGGGGCCAGGTGTGGAATGATATGTTTGGCTGTGTCCCCACCCAAATCTCTTCTTGGATTCCCATGTGTTGTGGGAAGGACCCAGTGGGAAGTAATTGAGTCATGGGGGCAAGTCTTTCCCACGCTGGTTTTTTTTTTTTTTTTTTTTTTTGAGATGGGGTCTCACTTTGTCGTCCAGGCGGGAGTGCAGTGGCACAATCTCAGCTCACTGCAACCTCTGCATCCCCAATTCAAGCAATTCTCCTGCCTCAGCCTCCTGAGTAGCTGGGACTACAGGTGCACACCACCACACCCAGCTAATTTTTGTATTTTTAGTAGAGACAGGGTTTCGCCATGTTGGTCAGGCTGGTCTCAAACTTCTGACCTCAGGTGATCCACCTGCCTCGGCCTCCCAAAGTGCTGGGAGTACTTTGGGTGAGCCACCCATGGTGTGAGCTACCTTGAAAGACCCAAATCACTTCTTTTTTTTTTTTTTTTTTTCTGAGAGGGAGTCTCTGTCACCCAGGCTGGAGTGCAATGGCACAATCTCAGTTCACAGCAACCTCCACCTCTGGGGTTCAAGTGATTCTCCCACCTCAGCCTCCTGAGTAGCTGGGATTTCAGGTGTGTGCCACCATGCCTGGCTAATTTTTGTATTTTTAGTAGAGACAGGGTTTCACCACGTTGGCCAGGCTGGTCTCGAACTCCTGACCTCATGTGATCCACCTGCCTTGGCCTTCCAAAATGCTGAGATTACAGGCGTGAGCCACTGTGCCCAGCCCCAAATCCCAAATCACTTCCAATAGTAGAAATGGAAATAAATGTGAGCTCGGAAAAGATCAATATAAACAAGAAAGATAATTATTTACCCAAGTTTTGGTATATCTGAGTGATGGCAGTTGTAGTGGTGGTGGGTTAAGTCATGGAATAAATGCTTAGAAAGGGAAAATTGTAAGGAGTGCTTCCTACAATCATGCAGTTCAAAAACAATCACAAATATGGTCGGCTTGCTAAGTAGTTTCTTCTTTTTTTTTTTTTTTTGGAGACGGAGTCTCACTCTGTCGCCTGGTGTACAGTCGCGATCTCAGCTCACTGCAAACTTTGCATCCCGGTTTCAAGTGATTCTCCTGCCTCAGCCACTTGAGTCACTGGATTACAGGTGCCTGCCACTACACTCAGCTAATTTTCTGTATTTTTAGTAGAGACGGGGTTTCACCATATTGGCCAGGCTGGTCTCAAACTCCTGACCTCGTGATTCACCCGCCTCGGCCTCCAAAAGTGCTGGGATTATAGGCGTAAGCCACCACGCCCGGCCTCGCTGAATACTTTCATACTATATCATTTATTGTCACACATCTGTGTGATTGTTGTATACTTTATGAATTTTTTATTGTACAAAAATTTGCATTCATTTATTCATTTTCTTTTCTTTTTTTTTTTTTTTTGAGACGAAGTCTCGCTCTGTCACCCAGGCTGGAGTGCAGTGGCGCGATCTTGGCTCACTGCAAGCTCCACCTCCTGGGTTCACGCCATTCTCTTGCCTCAGCCTCCCGAGTAGCTGGTACTACAGGCACCTGCCACCCTGCCCTGCTAATTTATTGTATTTTTAGTAGAGATGGGGTTTCACTGTGGTCTCGATCTCCTGACCTCGTGATCCGCCTGCCTTGGCCTCCCAAAGTGCTGGGATTACAGGTGTGAGCCACTGCTCCTGGCCCATTTATTCATTTTCTAACCCACTTATTCCAGTTCAAGGTTGCGGGTAGCCAGAGCCTAGCTCGGCAGGTCATAGCACAGGGCTGGAACCTGCCCTGGACTGGACACTATCCTGTTGTAGAGCACACTCTCACACACACCTGCACACACACCCACACTCACTCAGACCAAGACAATTTAGACATGCAATGAACCCACGCTGATTAATCAACAGCATTTGCTTTGGGATGTGGGAGGAAACCACAGTACCTGAAGGAAACCCACACAGACATGGGAGAGTGTGCAAATTCCACACAGGCAGGGCCCCTGCCGGGAAGCTTTTCTTTTTTTTTCCCTCATCTAAGTTATAAGGAAACCAGGCCAGGCTCAGTGGCTCATGCCTCTATATTTCCAGCACTTTGGGAGGCTAAGGTGGGAGGATCGCTTGATTTCAGGAGTTCAAGATCAGCCTGGGCAACATAGTGAGATCCTGTCTGTACAAAATATACAAAAATTACCCGGGTGTGGTGGCCTGTGCCTATAGTCCCAGCTACTCGGGAGGCTGAGGTGGGAGGATCACTTGAGGCCTTGATTGTCGAGGCTGCAGTGAGCTGTGATCAGGCCACTGCACCCCAGCCTGGGTGACAAAGAGAGACCTTGTCTCAAAAAAAAAAAAAATTTATAAGTGAGCCACATTGTACAAAATTATGGTCTTCCAGGACCTGATACATTTCTGTCACTCCAAAAATTCTGTCATTCCCCTGCTCCTTTCTTTTCTTTTTTTTTAGACAGAGTGGAGTCTCGTTCTGTCGCCCAGGCTAGCGGGCAGTGGCGTGATCTTGGCTCACTGCAAGCTCCACCTCCCGGGTTCATGCCATTCTCCTGCCTCAGCCTCCCAAGTAGCTGGGACTACAGGCGCCTGCCGCCACGCCTGGCTAATTTTTTGTATTTTTAATAGAGACGGGGTTTCACCGTGTTAGCCAGGATGGTCTCGATCTCCTGACCTCATGATCCGCCTGCCTCGGCCTCCCAAAGTGCTGGGATTACAGGCGTGAGCCACTGCGCCCGGCCTCTATGTGCTTATTTATATATCTTCTTTTGTGAAGTGTCTGTTCACGTCCTTTACTGTCTTTCTCATTGATTTGTACTTGGAGCCTACTTTGTTGCCAAGGTGACGTATACAGAACCCAGAAGCCCATCTTGAATTCACATGCCCTGGCATACAGGTTCAAGGCAGGAAGAAAGGCCAGGTGTCTATAATTCGAAGGATCTGCACCTACTTAGGAGTTAGGCTACACAGGACTATACAAGTGTTGCAAATCGGGTCTTTTGGTGTTGGGCACAACACAGCGCACCTGGGCAAAGAGCAGAACTCCTGAATCTTACACTACAGTAGTGATTTATAACCCTGGATGCTAATAAGAACCACCTGGGGAATTCTTGGTCCCAAATTCTGGTTTAATTGGTGGACGTTCAGTCTGGGCATTTGGAATTGTAAAAGCTTTCCAGGTGATTGTAATATGCAGTGAAAGTTGAAAATCACTGTTCTGGAAGGACATTCACTGATTATTAAGCATATGCTATGCTATTTTGTGAAACTATCAAGTTAATTTAAACCAAACTTTAAATTAGGTGTTTTTTTTCCCACATAGATAAACTGGGGGAGCTGAAGATTTTTAGCTCTTTATCAACATCAAGTATCAAACTATAGAATGTGGCCAGGCGCAGTGGCTCACGCCTGTAATCCCAGCACTCTGAGAGGCCAAGGTGGGCGGATCACAAGTTCAGGAGTTTGAGACCAGCCTGGCCAACATGCCGAAACCCCATCTCTACTAAAAATACAAAAATTAGCCAGGCATGGTGGCAGGTGCCTGTAATCCCAGATACTCGGGAGGGGCTGAGGCAGGAAAATTGCTTGAACCTGGGAGGCAGAGGTTGCAGTGAGCCGAGATCATGCCATTGCACTCCAGCCTGGGTGACAAGAGCAAGACTCCATCTCAAAAAACAAACAACAACAACAACAAAAACTTTAGAATGTAGACCCTGATGATCACTATCCAGTCTCTATAATTTTCTCAAGGCCCCATCTCATCTATAATAATCATGTTTGAAATAAGAATTTAGCTATCATAGTTCTAGACACATTTACCCAGCAGTTAAAATGAGATGTAAGAGTCCTCTTTATTTATTGTCTTAAGCTGATATGGAGACATCTCATGTACTTGTAATTTGCTTCCAAGTTCTATCCCCAAAAAGCCAGATTTCAAATTTGAAAAAGGTTGTACAGAGATTATGATGTAGGGCCAGGGGTCAGCAAACTATGACTAGTAGGCCACATCCTTCCTGTGGGCCAGATCCAGTCTATTGCCTGTTTTTTGTAAAGCCTGAGAGCTAAGAATGGTTCTAATATATTTAAATTAATGAAGAAAATCAAAATGAGAGTAATAATAATTACATGAAAATCAAATTTCAGTGTCCATAAATACATTTTTTATTTGAAGACAGCCATGCTTGTTCATTTACTTATTCTTTATCATTGCTTTTGCATACAAATGCAGAATTGAGTAATTATAACAGAAACTTCATGGCCCACAAAACCTGAAATATCCACTATTCAGATTTTTTTGGGGTTTCACTATATTGCCCAGGCTGGTCTCAACTCCTGGGCTCCAGAGATCCTCCCACTTTGACCTCCCAAATGCTGAGATTACAGGCATGAGCCACCTCACCCAACCCTATTTGGATCTTTATGGAATAGATTTGCTGCCCTGTGATTTAGATAAAGATTCTCTGAATGGGAGAAGAGAAGAATTGGGGAATTGAGGAATGCATAGATCGAGTCTTTCACTAAGAATGAGCCCCGTCTACCCACTTTCCCACTAAGCCAAGCCCTGGGAGATAAAGACTAAATAGTAGTAAATAACAGAACTTCTAATTTGTTTGGGTAATCTGAATGCAGAGGGCTGACCCGCTTCCTGGTTAGAGCCCCAAGTATTTTTTTTTTTTTTTGAGTCAGAGTTTTGCTTTTGTTGCCCAGACTGGAGCACAATGCCTTGATCTCGGCTCACCACAACCTCTGCCTCCTGGTTCAAGCGATTCTCCTGCCTCAGCCTCCCGAGTAGCTGTGATTACAGGCATACGTACCACCACGCCCGGCTAATTTTGTATTTTTAGAAGAGACGGGGTTCCTCCATGTTGGTCAGGCTGGTCTCAAACTCCCGACCTCAGGTGATCTGCTCACCTCAGCCTCTCAAACTGCTGGGATTACAAGCATGAGCCACCGCACCCAACCCTATTTGGATCTTTATGGAATAGATTTGCTGCCCTGTGGTTTAGATAAAGATTCTCTGAGTCAGGAAACAACAGGTGCTGGAGAGGATGTGGAGAAATAGGAACACTTTTACACTGTTGGTGGGACTGTAAACTAGTTCAATGATTGTGAAAGATAGTGTGGCGATTCCTTAAGGATCTAGAACTAGAGGCCGGGCGCGGTGGCTCACACCTATAATCCCAGCACTTTTGGAGGCCGAGGCGGGTGGATCACGAGGTCAGGAGATCGAGACCATCCTGGCTAACATGGTGAAACCCCCGTCTCTACTGAAAATACAAAAAATTAGCCAGACGTGGTGGCAGGTGCCTGTAGTCCCAGCTACTTGGGAGGCTGAGGCAGGAGAATGGCGTGAACCCGGGAGATGGAGCTTGCAGTGAGCTGAGATCATGCCACTGCACTCCAGCCTGGGGGACAGAGCGAGACTCCGTCTCAAAACAAAACAAAAAAAGGATCTAGAACTAGAAATACCATTTGACCCAGCCAACCCATTACTGGGTATATACCCAAAGGATTATGAATCATGCTGCTATAAAGACACATGCACACATATGTTTATTGCGGCACTATTCACAATAGCAAAGACTTGAAACCAACCCAAATGTCCATCAGTGATAGACTGGATTAAGAAAATGTGGCACATATACACCATGAAATACTATGCAGCCATAGAAAAGGATGAGTTCATGTCCTTTGTAGGGACTTGGATGAAGCTGGAAACCATCATTCTGAGCAAACTATCGCAAGGACAGAAAACCAAACACTGCATGCTCTCACTCATAGGTGGGAATTGAACAATGAGAACACTTGGACACAGGGTGGGGAACATCACACACCGGGGCCTGTCATGGGGTGGGGGGAGCAGGGAGGGATAGCATTAGGAGATATACCTAATGTAAATGACGAGTTAACGGGTGCAGCACACCAACAGGGCACATGTATACATATGTAACAAACCTGCACATTGTGCACTTGTACCCTAGAACTTAAAGTATATATATAAAAAAAAATTCTCTGAATGGGGAAGGAGAAGAATTGGGGAATTGAGGGATGCATAGATATTATGAGTCTTTCACTAAGAATGAACCCTGTCTACCCACTTTCCCTGGGAGATAAAGACTAAATAGTAGTAAATAACAGAACTTTTAATTTGTTTGGGTAATCTGAATGTAGAGGGCTGACCCCCTTCCTGGTTAAAGCCGCAAGTAATAAATGGCTGTGTGATAGATAAATCTAGGCTCCTGGTTCCCAAAGTCTTGTTCCCAGACTTGCAGCATCACCATCACCTGGAAGCTTGTTTGAAGTGTAAATTCTCTAGCTTTGTCCCAGACTCACGGAATCAGGAACTTTGGGAGTGGAGCCCAACAGTCAGCATTGCAACAGGCCCTCCTAGTGGTGCTAATGCACAGAGGAGCTTGAGAAGCTCAGCAGGTAGAACCTTCGATAGCAGCCTGAATTTCCTGTGACTGTGCATAGCGCCCAGCCTGAAATAAAGTCTCATTTCTTGAAGAAGAAATTTGTGGCCAGGCGTGGTGGCTCACGCCTGTAATGCCAGCACATTGGGAGGCCGAGGCAGGCAGATCACCTGAGGTCAGGAGTCCGAGACCAGCCTGGCCAACATGGTGAAACCCTGTCTCTACAAAAACACAAAAATTAGCCGGGCGCAGTGGCTCAAGCCTGTAATCCCAGCACTTTGGGAGGCCAAGGCGGGTGGATCACGTGTTCAGGAGATCGAGACCATCCTGGCTAACACGGTGAAACCCCGTCTCTACTAAAAAAATACAAAAAAAATTAGCAGGGCGTGGTGGCGGGCGCCTGTAAACCCAGCTACTCGGAGGCTGAGGCAGGAGAATGGCGTGAACCCGGGAGGCGGAGCTTGCAGTGAGCCGAGATCGCGCCACTGCACTCCAGCCTGGGCGACAGAACGAGACTCCGTCTCAAAAAAACAAAAACAAAAACAAAAATTAGCCGGCATGATGACGGGTGCCTGTAATCCTAGCTCCTCAGGAAGCTGGAACAGGAGAATCACTTGAACCTGTAAGGCAGAGGTTGCAGTGAGCCAAGATCATGCCATTGCACTCCAGCCTGCACGACAGGGCAAGACTCCGTCTCAAAAAAAAAAAAAGAAAATTGGCTGATGTGGTGGCGAGTGCCTGTAATCCCAGCTACTTGGGAGGGTGAGACACAAGAATCACTTGAACCCGGGAGGCAGAGGTTGCAGTTAGCCAAGATCACGCCACTGCATTCTAGCCTGGGCGATGAATCGAGATTTTGTCTCAATAATAATAATAATAATAATAATAAAATAGGCCGGGCACGTTGGCTCACGCCTGTAATCCCAGCACTTTGGGAGGCCAAGGCGGGCAGCTATGCAGCACTGATTTATTCCAGATGGGCTGCTTTCCTCACTGTATTCTTCCTCTATGGGTGAACAAATCCACCTGTTGGTACTTATGCATTCATATGGCATGAATATGCCTTGCTATGGATTATTGCTGTTCATCATCACTATATGATGGAGAAGGTGAGTGGGGGCAAGCAAGACCTTGCTGGTAGGCAGCAGCAAGCCACTGTTACAGGGAATCCTACAGTCAAGGTTTGCTCAGCATTTTCCCAATTCAGGGGGTTAGTCCTAGGGTTATTCATCCTCTATCACACAGTTCTCCAAGAATACTTTACTGTGGCATCTCTTAGTTATGAATGTTACTTCTTTTTCCAAGCTAATGTCACCACAGAACAGTGAAAACTTAGGAGTTCCCTTCCAGGCTATTGTGTTCCTAACTGGTACCTGCGACTTGCCAAGGATTCACGAGTGCCTTGTTTTGGTGGTTTTCATGTGGCTGTGGCTTGTCTCCAGGCAGGCCTGCAATGAGATATGTGTATCCATGTGGGTGGTCTGCACAAAGTACAACCATGGGAGTGGTCAGAAGAATTTCATAAGGCTGAACAAATGGGCTTGGCAGGTCTTTCTCCAGAATTCCTTTTGTAGGCCAGTTTCCCAGCTGCAATGGATGTGTTGGCATGGAGTCCAGTCTTAGCCTCGAGGCCTGCTGAGGCCTGCGGTTCTTTTTTTTTTTTGAGACTGAGTCTCGCTCTGTCACCATGCTGGCATGCAGTGGCACAAACGCATCCGGGGTATTTTTTTAAATCTACATTTTATTATTTTTATTTTTATTTATTTATTTTTTGAGACGGAATCTTGCTCTGTAGTCCAGGCTGGAGTGCAGTGGCATGATCTTGGCTCACTGCAGCCTCTGCCGCCCAGGCTCAAGAGATTCTTCTGCCGCAGCCTCCTGAGTAGCTGGGATTACAGGTGTGCACCACCATGCGTGGCTAATTTTTGTATTTTTAGTAGAGACGGGGTTTCACCATGTTGCTCAGGATGGTCTTGAACTCCTGACCTCGTGATCCACTCACCTCGGCCTCCCAAAGTGCTGGGATTACAGGTGTGAGCCACCACGCCCGGCCTATTTTATTATTTTTAGAGACAGGATCTCGCTCTGTTGCTCAGGCTGGGGTGCAGTGGTGCAGTCATAGCTCACTGCAGCCTGCAACTCCTGGGCTCAAGCGATCCTCTTGCCTCAGCCTCCCATGTAGCTGGGACTACAGGCACCCAGCTAAGGAAAAAAACATTTAATTGAAGGAGGGGTAGCACGTACCAAAGCAAATTTTAGATGTCAAATTGAAAAAAATGAGAAAGTATGATATTTCCATTTGTTTTCACAAACATAAGGATAATATAACACCCAAGTCTCCTATTTTAAAATTCTACCTTATGTAGAGGCATATATTGAGTATCTATTAATTAAAAAGTTTTAAGCTGGGCGCGGTGGCTCACGCCTGTAATCCCAGCAATTTGGGAGGCCGAGGTGGGTGGATCACGAGGTCAAGAGATTGAGACCAGCCTGACCAACACAGTAAAACCTCATCTCTACTAAAAATACAAAAATTAGCCAGGCATGGTGGTGCATGCCTGTGGTCCCAGCTACTCGGGAGGCTGAGGCAGGAGAATCGCTTGAACCCGGGAGGCAGAGGTTGCAGTGAGCCGAGATAGCACCACTGCACTCCAACCTGGTGACAGAGTGAGAGACCATCTCAAAAAAAAAAAAAATAGATTTAAGAGACTGTATCTCTTGATAGGTCAAAGGAGAAGATGGATAAATATATAAAGCTATGGAACTATGCTGTCTAATATAGTAACTACTGGCCATATATGGCTATTGAGCAAAGCTAGTCTAAATTGAGTTGTGTTATAAGTGTAAAGCACATATCCAATTTCTTTTTTTTTTTTCCTTTTTTTTTTTTTTGAGGCGGAGTTTTGCTCTTGTTGCCCAGGCTGGACTGCAATGGCATGATCTCACCTCACCACAACTTCCACCTCCCAGGTTCAAGCGATTGTCCTGCCTCAGCCTCCCTAGTAACTGGGATTACAGGCAAGTTCCACCACGCCCGGGTAATTTTGTATTTTTAGTAGAGATGAGGTTTCTCCATGTTGGTCAGGCTGGTCTCGAACTCCTGACCTCAGGTGACCCGCTCGCCTCAGCCTCCCAAAGTGCTGGGATTACAGGCGTGAGCCACCGCACCCGGCTCCAATTTCAAACACTTAATATAAAAAAGAATAGGCGGCCGGGTGCGGTGGCTCACGCCTGTAATCTCAGCACTTTGGGAGGCCGAGGCTGGTGGATCACCAGTCAGGAGATCAAGAACATCCTGGCTAACATGGTGAAACCCCATGTCTACTAAAAATACAAAAAATTAGCCGGGTGTGGTGGCGGGCGCCTGTAGTCCCAGCTACTAGGGAGGCTGAGGCAGAATGGCGTGAACCCGGGAGGTGGAGCTTGCTGCAGTGAGCCGAGATTGCGCCACAGCACTCCAGCCTGGGCGACAGAGCGAGACTCCATCTCAAAAAAAAAAAAGAAAGGAAGGAAGAAAAGAAAAGTATAGGCCAGGCATGGTGGCTCACGCCTGTAATCCCAGCACTTTGGGAGGCTGAGGAGGGCAGATCACTTGAGGTCGGGAGTTTGAGACCAGCCTGACCAACATGGAGCAATCCCGTCTCTACTAAAAATACAAAATTAGCCAGGCATGGTGGCATATGCTTGTAATCCCAGCTACTCAGGAGGCTGAGGCAGGAGAATCACTTGAACCAGGGAGGCTGAGGTTGTGGTGAGCTGAGATCCCGCCATTGTACTCCAGCCTGGGCAACAAGAGCAAAACTCCCTTTCCAAAAAAAAATTAATAAAATAAAAATAAAAAAATATAGAATACTTCATTAATAATTTTTTCTGCCAGACACGGTGGCTCACACCTGTAATCCCCGCACTTTGGGAACCTGAGGCAGGAGGATTGCTTGAGCTCAGAAGTTTGAGACCAACCTGGGCTCATATCTACAAATATATTTTTTTAAATCAGCTGGGCATGGTGGCACATACCTCTGGTCCCAGCTAATCAGTATGCTGAGTGGGGAGGATCACCTGAGCCCAGGAGTTTGAGACTGCAGTGAGCTGTATTTGTACCACTGTACGCCAACCTGGACGACAAAGTGAGATTTTATCTCAAAAACAATTTTTTTTTTCTAAGTGATTACGTGTTGAAATCATATTATGTATCTATTGGGTTAAATAAAATATCAAAATTAATTCACCTTTTAAAGAAAACTTTTTAATATGGCTACTAGAAAATTTAAAGTTTGAACCCAGGAGGCGGAGGTTGCAGTGAGCCAAGATCGTGCCACTGCATGCCAGCTTGGGCGACAGAGGGAGACTCCATCTCAAAAAAAAAAAAAAGAAAGAAAGAAAATTTAAAATTATAATATGGCTTGCATTATATTCCTATGGGATAGCACTGCTAGAGAGAAATTGTGATGAAGACCCATGGGAAATGTATCAAAGTTGAAATACATGGAAAACTTAACTAAATGGTTTAATAAGTACATTTCAATAATATTTTTTAGCATTGTGTCAAAATTATAACGTGGCAAAAACATTAGCTTTTCATAAAATAACCCTTACTAACGAAATTTAATGGTATTTCCATGTCATTACTCTGCCAATTTAATAATTGGTATTTGGTTCTAAGTCTGTTAAAAGGAGTTTTGAATCTTCTCTGTTACCTACTTGCATGTGCATTTGTTTTTTGTTGTTTGTTTGAGATGGAGTCTCACTCTGCTCCCAGGCTGGAGTGCAGTGGCACGATCTTGGCTTACTGCAACCTCCACCTCCCAGGTTCAAGCAATTCTGCCTCAGCCTCCTGAGTACCTGGGATTATAGGCATGTGCCACCATGTCCGGCTCATTTTTGTATTTTTACTAGAGACGGGGTTTCACCATGTTGGCCAGGCTGGTCTTGAGTTCCTGACTTCAAGTGATCTGCCTGCCTCAGCCTCCCAAAGTGCTGGGATGACAGGCGTGAGCCACCACGCTGGCCTGCATGTGCATTTGCAATTACAAATGTAGTGACCCAGGAAGGTTGTACTGACACTCACATTCTAGTAGATGCATGGCCAAAAACAATTTGATTTCCCAAAATGGTCAACAACACTTGGTAAGGTTCCCAACCAAACAAAGTACATTTTTCTTACATTTACACAGCAGTTTGGTTCCTGGAAAATTCGGTGAATGTTAAAACCATGCAAAAATACTTCTCTTTGTGTGTATGTGGAGTGGGGGCGTGTATGTAAAACAGAATCAGCTCAGATCATTATAAACAGATTTTTATCTTACAGGAATCTCTGGTGATACAGTGGAAAATCCTAAAAGACACAAAGCAATTATTTGCTATGAAGAGAGTGTGGCATCCCTGCCCTCCCCCATTACGTGCTTATAGCGTCTCAATATTTTGTAAACATTTTTTGGGGGGAATAATTATAGATTCACAGGAACTTCCAAAGAAATGTCCAGGAAGTTCCACTGCACCCTTCACTCCATTCTCCCTCAATGTTAATATCTTCCATGGCTACAGTGCAATATCAAAACCAGGAAATCAACATTGGTACAATGCACAGAGCCTATTCAGATAGGAAACCAACATTGGTATAATCCTCATCACTTGTTCAGACTTCACCCATTATACTTGCAGTCATTAGTGTGTGTGTATGTGTCTTGCTTTATATAACATTACCACATGCCTAGCTTTGTATAATTACCATTATAATCAAGATACACAACTGTCGAGTAGGGAGGGATCATGGCAGTGGGGAGGCAGGACTAGATTGCAGCTCCCACTTGGACGGACAGAGCAGTGTGCAGCCTCTCGCATCGTGAACTTTTGCTCCAGAAGTACTGCAGGAATAGATCAGGAAAGCTGAGAGAACCCACAGACCCTAGGAAGGAAGCAGATTGCTCCTGCAGGACCTGGGAGACACCCTAAATACTGTGTTGGTATCCATGGCTGAGAGACCTACAGATGGTCACATCACATGACTCTGTGCAGACAACCCCCAGTATTAGCCAGGAGCCTGGTAGACCTGTTGGGTGGCTAGATCCAGAAGAGAGATAACAATCACTACAGTTCTACTATCAGGAAACCACATCCCTAGGAAAATGGGGAGAGTACCACATCAAGGGAACACCCCATGGGACAAAAGAACCCGAACAACAGCCTTGATCCCTAGACCTTCCCTCTGACAAAGCCTACACCAATGAGAAGGAACCAGAAAACCAACTCTGGTAATATGACAAAACAAGTTCTTCAACACTCTGCAAAAATCACACCAGCTCAGAAGCGATGGATCCAACCAAGAAGAAATCCTTGATTTACCTGAAAAAGAATTCAGAAGGTCAGTTACTAAGCTAATCAAGGAGGCACCAGAAAAAGGCAAAGCTCAATTTAAGGAAATCAAAAAAAGATATAAGAAATGAAGGAAGAAATCTTCAGTGAAAAAGATAGCATAAATAAAAAACAATCAAAACTTCAGGAAACAATGGATGCACTTATAGAAATGCAAATGCTCTGGAAAGTCTCAGCAATAGAATCGAACAAGCAGAAGAAAGAATTCAGGGCTCGAAGACAAGGTTTTCAAATTAACCCAATTCAACAAAGACAAAGAAAAAAGAATAAGAAAATATGAACAAAGCCTCCAAGATGTCTAGGATTATGTTAAACGACCAAACCTAAGAATAATCGGCGTTCCTGAGGAAGAAGAGAAATCTAAAAATTTGGAAAACATATTTGGGGGAATAATCAAGGAAAACTTCCCCAGCCTTGCTAGAAACCTAGACATCCAAATACAAGAAGCTCAAAGAACACCTGGGAAATTCATCGCAAAAAGATCATCACCAAAAAAAAAAAAAAAAAAAAAAAAATGGCCAGGCGCGGTGGCTCATGCCTGTAATCCCAGCACTTTGGGAGGCTGAGGCAGGCAGATCACCTGAGGTTGGGAGTTCGAGACCAGCCTGACCAATATGGAGAAACCCCATCTCTACTAAAAATACAAAAATTAGCCAGTGTCGTGGTGCATGACTGTAGTCCCAGCTACTCAGGAGGCTGAGGCAGGAAAATCGCTTGAACCTAGGAGGTGGAGGTTGCAATGAGCTGAGATCGTGCCACTGCACTCTAGCCTGGGTAACAGAGTAAGACTCTGTCTTTAAAAAAAAAAAAAAAAAAAAGGATCATCTCCAAGGCACATTGTTGTCAGGTTATCTAAAGTTAACATGAAGGAAAGAATGTTTTTTTTTTGAGATGGAGTTTCGCTCTTGTTGCCCAGGCTGGAGTGCAATGGCGCAATCTCGGCTCACCACAACCTCTGCCTCCCAGGTTCAAGCGATTCTTCTGCCTCAGCCTCCTGAGTAGCTGGAATTACAGGCATGTGCCACCATGCCCAGCTAATTTTGTATTTATGGAGGAGACAGGGTTTCTCCACATTGGTCAGGCTGGTCTTGAACTCCCGACCTCAGGTGATCCGCCCGCCACGGCCTCCCAAAGTGCTGGGATTACAGGCATGAGCCACCTCGCCCAGCCCTACCTAGATTGGCATTTTTATTATTATTATTATTGTTTGTTTGTTTGTTTTTTGAGATGGAGTTTCGCTCTTGTTGCCCAGGCTGGAGTGCAATGGTGCGATCTGGGCTCATCGCAACCTCCAATTGGCTATTTTTACTTAGTATGATTCACTTGAGGTTCATCCAAGTTGTATGTGTTAATAGCTCATTCACTTTGATTGCTGCGTAGTAGTCCATGGTTTGAATGTTCCGCAGTTCAGCCATTTATTTACTGAAAGACATTTAGAGGCTGGGCGTGGTTGCTCATGCCTGTAATCCCAACACTTCGGGAGGCCAAGGCAGGCAGGATCACTTGAGCCCAGAAGTTTAAGACAAGCCTGGGCAACATGGCAAACCCCCGTCTCTACAGAAAAATGAAAATTAGCCAGGCTTGGTGGTTCACACCTGTAGTCTCACCTACTCAGAAGATTAAGGTGAGAGGATCACCTGAGCTTGGGGGTGCGGAGGTTGCAGTGAGCTGAAATCATGCCAGTGCACTCCAGCTTGAGTGAGAGTGACACTCTGTCTCAAAAAAAAAAAACACCTTTAGATAATTTACAGTGTTTGGCTATTATGAATAAAGCTGCTGTGAACACTATTACGAGCTTGTGTGTGAAAAAAAATTTTATGTGAGAAAAATGACCAAGAGTGAAATTGCTGAGTCATATGTTAAGTCCATTTTGGGTGGTAAAAAAAAAGCAGCCCTGGCCGGGCAGGGTGGCTCATGCCTGTAATTTCAGCACTTTGGGAGGCTGAGGCAGGCAGGTCACGAGGTCAGGAGTTCGAGGCCAGCCTGACCAACATGGTGAAACTCCATCTCTACTAAAAATACAAAAATTAGCCAGGCATGGTGCCGCGCGCCTGTAATCCCAGCTACTCAGGAGGCTGAGGCAGGAGAATTGCTTGAACCCGGGAGGCGGAGGTTGCAGTGAGCTGAGATCGCACCACTGCACTCCAGCCTGGGCAACAGAGTGACACTCCGTCTCAAAAAAAAGAAAAAAGAAAAGGAAGAAGAAACAGCCCAAGTATTTTTCAGAGCGGCTGTACCATTTTACGTCCCATCCAGCAAAGTATGAGTGACTCAGAGTCTCTGCATCCTCACCAGCTCTTGGCATCATCACTATTTTTTATTTCAGCCATTCTTAGTACTTTGACAATCAAAATTTGCCCACAAATTTCTAAAATATTACCCAGATGGTAGCATTGTGTCTACTGAGAATCATTAGATGACTGGCTCTCAAACTAGGCTGTGCATTCAGATTGTCTAGAGCACTTTATAAACATACCTGTGGCTGGGTCCCTGCTTCACAGATTCTAGTTTAATTGGTCTGGGATGTGACCTGGCCATCAAGAATTGTAAAAGTTCCCCAGGTATTTCAATGTACAAACAAATTCATGAATCACTGATACTATTCCCACGTCTCAGTCATTTTAGTCCTAAAGTTTCAAAATCCTATGGATGAGATAAATCAAGGGTTGAGGCCAGGCGCAGTGGCTCGTGTCTGTAATCCCAACACTTTGAGAGGCCGAGATGGGCGGATCATGAGGTCAGGAGTTTGAGACCAGCCTGGCAATGTAATGAAACCCCGTCTCTACTAAAAATACAAAAATTAGCTGGATGTGGTGGCATGTGCCTATAATCCCAGCTACTCAGGAGGCTGAGGGAGGAGAATTGCTTGAACCCAGGAGGCGGAGGTTGCCATGAGCCAAGATCATGCCACTGCACTCCAGCCTGGGCGACAGAGCAAGACAATGTCTGGGGGGCGGGGAGGGGAATCAAGGGTCGAGATCATTTCTCCAGAATAAGATTTACAGCTAGTGCAGCATTATTTTCCCAGCAGAATGTCAGTAGAGCTCAAAGGGGAAGCAAAAGTAACTGTGGCCTAACATGCTGGGTTAGAAGAAGAAACTTCTTAAAATAGATATATAAGACTAAAACTAAGTCCAAATTACATAAAAACAAACCACAAATGCCTAGGACTCATTTCAATTCCTAGACATATGATGTAGTGGTACCAAAAGACGGGCTTTCGAATTAGAAGTTCTGGCCAATCACTGGGCACGGTGGCTCACACCTGTAATCCCAGCACTTTGAGAGGCTGAGGAGGGTGGATCACTTGAGGTCAGGAGTTCGAGACCAACCTAGCCAACATGGCAAAACTCTGTCTTTACTAAAAATACAAAAAGTAGCTGGGCGTAGTGGTGCACGCCTGTAATCCCAGCTACTCGGGAGGCTGAGGCAGGAGAATGGCTTGAACCAAGGAGAAGGAGTTTGCAGTGAGCCGAGATTATGCCGTTGCACTTCGGCCTAGGCGACACAGCAAGACTCCATCTCAAAAAAAACCAAAACAAAGACTTAGAAGTCCTGGTTTTGAGTTCTGGTTTTTCCATGTAAGAGCTGTGGGATCTTGGATGAGTCATTTGACCCCTCTAAACTTCAGTTTTCTATCCCTGAGATCTGCAATGATGAAAACCTCAGAGGTTTTTGGCAAAGCTTAAAGTGCCAATATGTGCTGTATTTTTAACAAAAACATGCTGCAATTATGATACAATTATTACGGATAGGAAAATTAGAAATATTTGTTATCCAGACCTCATCCAACTCACTCCAACCAATATCTGATGACCACATTTTATGTAATATTTAATATGTATTGTCATGGCCAGGCACAGTGGCTCATGCCTGTAATCCCAGCACTGTGGGAGGCGTGGCAGGTGGATCACTTGAGGTCAGGAATTTGAGACCATCCTGGCCAACATGGTGAAACTCCGTCTCTACTAAAATTCCAAAAATTAGCCGGGTATGGGGGCGGTGCCTGTAATCCCAGCTACTCAGGAGGCCGAGGCAGGAGAATTGCTTGAACCCAGGAGACAGAGGTTGCAGTGAGCTGAGATCACACCATTGCACTCCAGCCTGGGCAACAGAACAAGACTCCGTCCCCCTCCCCCACAAAAAAAAAAGGCCTGGTGTGGTGGCTCACACCTGTAATCCCAGCACTTTCAGAGGCCGAGGTGGGCAGACCACCTGAGGTCAGGAGTTTGAGACTAGCCTGGCCAACATGGTGAAACCCCGTCTCTACTAAAATACAAACATTGGCTGGACGTGGTGGTGGGTGCCTGTAATCCCCAGCTACTCGAGTGGTTGCGGCAGGAGAATTGCTTGAACACGGCAGGCAGAGGTTGCTGAGATCGTGCCATTGTACTTCAGCCTGGACGGCAAGAGCATAACTCTGTCTCAAAAACACATACACAGCCGGGCGCGGTGGCTCACGCCTGTAATCCCAGCACTCTGGGAGGCCGAGACGGGCGGATCACAAGGTCAGGAGATCGAGACCATCTTGGCTAACACAGTGAAACCCCATCTCTACTAAAAAATACAAAAAGTTAGCCGGGCATAGTGGTGGGCGCCGTGCCTGTAGTCCCAGCTACTCAGGAGGCTGAGGCAGGAGAATGGCGTGAACCCGGGAGGCGGAGCTTGCAGTGAGCCGAGATCGCGCCACTGCACTCCAGCACTCTAGCCTGGGTGACAGAGCAAGACTCCGTCTCAAAAAACAAACAAACAAAAACAAACACACACACACACACACACCAAAAAAAAAAAAACCCACAGAACAATACAATTTTATTTATTTATTTATTTATTTACAGAAACGAGGTCTCATTATATTGCCCAGGCTGGTCTTGAACTCCTGAGCTCAAGTGATCCTCCCGCCTCCGCGTCCCGATATGCTGGGATTACAAGCATGAGCCACCATGCCTGGCCCAGAATAATATAATTTGGGGCTTCTTAAGTTTAGTGTGCCTGCGAATCACCAAGGGATCTCTTTAAATTTCAGATATGATTCAGCAGGTCTTTGGCAGGGCCTGAGGCTCTGCATTTCTTTTGTTGTTATTTCGAGACAGAGTCTAGCTATGTCACCCAGGGTGGAGTGCAGTGGTGCGATCACTGCTCACTGCAGTCTTGCCTTCCTGGGCTCAAGCAGTCCTCCCATCTCAGCCTCCCAAGTAGCTGGGACTGCATGCCACCACACCCGGCTAATTTTTTTTTTTTTTTTTTGAGATGGAGTCTTGCTCTGTCGCCCAGGCTGGAGTGCAATGATGTGGTCTCAGCTCACTGCAACCCCTGCCTCCCGGGTTCGAGCGATTCTCTTCCTCAGCCTCCCAAGTAGCTGGGACTACAGGCGCCCACCACACCCAGCTAATTGTTGTATTTTTTTAAATAGAGACGGGGTTTCACTATGTTGGCCAGGCTTGTCTCAAACTGCTCACCTCATGATCCGCCCACCTCAGCCTCCCAAAGTGCTGGGATTACAGGTGTGAGCCACCGCACCCGGCCTAATTTTTGTATTTTTTGTAGAGACAGGGTTTCGCCGTGTTGCCCAGGCTGGTCTCGAACTTCTGGGCTCAAGTGACCCTCCTGCCTCAGCCTCTGAAAGTGTTGGGATTATAGGCGTGAGCCACTGTGCCCTGCCAGGCCCTGCATTTCTAACAAGCTCTTAGGTGACATCCGTGCTGGTTGTCTGCTGACATTTTGAGTAGCAAAGATATAATTTTCAAATACCATAACTCAGCTTTAATAACTGTTAACTACTGGTCAGCTTTGTTTCCATCTTCTTATCCATTCTCTGCCCCAGATGATTTTGAAGTAAATCTTGGACATTCTATGATTTACGTGTATTTAATTACATATCTCATTGAAAACTTCAGAATGCTTCCTTTGAAAAATATAATCATAATAGCATCAGGAGCGCCTCAAAAGTTTAACAATGACTTCTTTTTTTATTATTTTTATTTTTTATTTATTTTTTTATTTTTTGAGACAGAGTCTCGCTCTGTCGCCCAGGCTGGAGTGCAGTGGCACAATCTCGGCTCACTGCAACCTCCACCTCACGGGTTCACGCCGTTCTCCTGCCTCAGCCTCCCGAGTAGCTGGGACTATAGGCGCCAGCCATCACGCCTGGCTAATTTTTTGTATTTTAAGTAGAGACGGGGTTTTACCGTGTTAGCCAGGATGGTCTCGATCTCCTGACCTTGTGATCTGCCCGCCTTGGTCTCCCAAAGTGCTAGGACTACAGGCAGGAGCCACCGCGCCTGCCCTAACAGTGATTTCTGAGTATCATCCAGTATCCAGTCAATTCACATTTCCCTGATTGTCCCATGAATGCTTTTTTATTGTGATTTGTTAATATGTCTCTTCAGTCATTTTTTATTTTATTTATTTATATATTTTTGAGATGGAGTCTTGCTCTGTCACCCAGGCTACAGTGCAGTGGTGTCATCTCAGCTCACTGAAACCTTTGCCTCCCAGGTTCAAGTGATTCTCCTGCCTCAGCCTCCTGAGTAGCTGGGATTACAGGCTCGCACCACCATGCCCAGCTATTTTTAGTAGAGACAGGGTTTCACCTTGTTGGTTAGGCTGGTCTCGAACTCCTGACCTCGTGATCTGCTCGCCTCAGCCTCCCAAAGTGCTGGGATTACAGGCGTGAGCCACCATGCCCGGCCTCTTCAGTCATTTTTAACCTGAAGATTCTCCTTTCAGCTTTTTCTTTTCCTTACTTTTATTTATTTATTTATTTTTAAGAAACTAGGTATTTGTTCTGTAGAGTTTTCCAGTGTGGATTTTGCTGCCAACATCCTCCTGATGTTGTTGAGCATGTTCCTTTCTCTCTTGTATTTCCTATAAATTGGTATGGATCCAGAGCCTTAATTGGATTCAGGTTTGATTTTTTTGACAAGGCTACCTAATACACAGTGCTGTGCATTCCATCAGGAGGTGCCTCATGTCTTCTTGTCTTTCTGTCCATAATCTTTGTAAAGGAGTCATCTCGCCTAACAATGGAACCCGTGATTGGGGTCTGCTGCCACCGGGTGGTAGCAGCATGCCATAGCCGCAGGTTCAAGGAGTAGTAAAAGGGAAAAAACACTGCTGTGAGATCCCAGACGGCAGGACTTGTCCTCTTCATTGAACCTACAATAAATCATCATGATTCTCAAACACGATACTTCAAAGCTACTTTTATTTTATTATTATTATTATTTTTGTTATTATTGTTTTTGAGACGGAGTCTCACTCTGTAGCCCAAGCTGGAGTGCAGTGGCGTGATCTCGGCTCACTGCAACCTTCGCCTCTGGGACTCAAGCGATTCTCCTGCCTCAGCCTCTCGAGGAGATGGGACTAGAGGCACCCACCACCATGCCCAGTTAATTTTTTTTTTTTGTATTTTTAGTAGAGACCAGGTTTCACCATGTTGCCCTGGGTGGTCTCGAACTCCTAAGCTCAGGAGATCCACTCGCCTTGGCCTCCCAAAGTGCTGTGATTACAGGCGTGAGTCACCACACCTGGCCTATTATTATTATTTTTTAGAGACAGTCACCCAGGCTGGAGTGCAGTGGCACAATCATTGCTCACTGCAGCCTCAATCTCTCGGGCTCAAGCTATTCTCCCATCTCAGCCTCTTGAGTAGCGGGGACCACAGGCACACACCACCACGCCTGGCTAGTCTTTTTTTTTTTGCTTTTTTCTTTTGGTAGAGATGTGGTCTCACTAAGTTGCCCAGGAGCAAAGCTACTTTTAAAATGAGGCTGGGCACTGTGGCTCATGCCTGTAATCCTGAACTGAGGCAGGAGGATTGCTTGAGGTCAGGAGTTCAAGGCCAGCCTGGCCTACATGGTGAAACCTCATCTCTACTAAAAATACAAAAGTTAGCCAGGTGTCCAGGTGCAGTGGCTCACTCCTGTAATCCCAGCACTTTGGGAGGCCGAGGTGGGCGGAACACCTGAGGTCGGGACCAGCCTGACCAAGAGAGAGAAACCCTGTCTCTACTAAAAAGACAAAATTAGCCGTCGTGGTGGCGTGTGCCTGTAATCCCAGCTGTTCAGGCCGAGGTTGGCGGAACACCTGAGGTTGGGAATTCGAGACCAGCCTGACAAACAGGGAGAAACCCTGTCTCTGAGGCTGAGGCAGGAGAATCACTTAAACCTGGGAGAAGGAAGTTGCAGTGAGCCGAGACTGTGCCATTGCACCCCGGCCTGGGCAACAAGAGCGGAGCTCTGTCTCAAAAAAAAAAAAAAAAAGAAAATTAGCCAGGCATGGTGGTGCATGCTTGTAGTCCCAGCTACTCTGGAGACTGAGGCAGGAGAATCACTTGAACCTGGGAGGTGGAGGTTGCAGTGAGCCGAGATCAGGCCACTGCACTCCAGCCTCGACAACAGAGCAAGACTGTCTCAAAATAAATACATAAATAAATTAGTTAAATTAAATTAAACAATGCTGCTGGGTGCAGTGGGCTGACGCCTATAATCCCAGCACTTTGAGAGGTGGAGGCATGAGGATTGCCTGAGCCTAGGATTTCAAGGCTGCAGTGAACTATGATCAGCCACTGTACTCCAGCCTGGGTAACACAGCAAAACCCTGTCTCTAAAAAAATAAAATAGTCTAATGCTGTCTAATAGCATGAAATAATAGTTACAATTTATTAAGCCCAAGAACCTTATATCCATATCTCATTTAATTCTCACAACACCCAGGAATATTAAACCATGGTGTTCATGTTTTGTAAAACAGTGGTGATGCTGGAGTTTGCTGTCAAGACTTGTTCTCAACCATTTCTGTGCCAATCTTCTGTTTTGGTCTATATTGGAGTCACTTGTCCTTCCTGTCTCCACCCGACATCCCCTTACAGTGGTGCTGTTATTTTTTCTGTTTGTCCCACTGTCCTCCATTGCCATCCATTCCCCCTGGGAGACTGAACTTTCTCTTTAGTTTTTTTTTTTTTTTTTTAAAGACAGAGTCTCGCTCTGTCGCCCAGGCTGGAGTGCAGTGGCACAATCTCAGCTCACTGCGACCGCCACCTCCCAGGTTCAAGCAATTGTCCTGCCTCAGCCTCCCGAGTAGCTGGGATTAAAAGAGCACCCCACCACACCTGGCAAATTTTTGTATTTTTAGTAGAGACGGGGTTTCACCATGTTGGCCAGGCTGGTCTCAAACTCCTGACCTCAAGTGATCCACCTGCCTTGGCCTCCCAAAGTGCTAGGATTACAGGCATGAGCCACCACACCTGGTCTTACTTTTCCTTTCTTTCTTTCTTTTTTTTTTTTTTGAGATGGAGTTTGTGCTCTGTTGCCCAGGCTGGAGTGCAATGGCACGATCTCAGGTTACTGCAACCACCGCCTATTAGGTTCAAGCGATTCTCTCACCTCAGCCTCCCGAGTAGCTGGGATTACAGGCGTCCAACACCACGCCTGGCTAGTTTTTGTATTTTTTTGTTTATTTATTTTTTTTTGTGACAGAGTCTCCCTTCGTCGCCCAGGCTGGAGTGCAGTGGCGCAATCTCGGCTCACTGCCTCTGCCTTCCGGTTCAGTCAATTCTCCTGTCTCAGCCTCCCTAGTAGCTGGGACTACGGGCACACGCCACCATGGCCAGCTAATTTTTTGTTTCTGTTTTGTTTTGTTTTGTTTTGTCTTGTTTTTGAAACAGAGTCATGCTCTTGTTGCCCAGGTTGGAGTGCAATGGCACGATCTCGGCTCACTGCAACCTCTGCCTCCTGGATTCAATGGATTCTCCTGCCTCAGCCTCCCAAGTAGCTGGGATTACAGGTGCCCACCACCATGCCCAGCTAATTTTTTTTTTTGTATTTTTAGTAGAGACGGGGTTTCACCATGTTGACCAGGCTACTCCCAAACTCGGACGACCTGAAGTCGGAAGTTCGAGACCAGCAGGACCAACATGGAGAAACCCCGTCTCTACTAAAAATACAAAAAATTAGCCAGGCGTGGTGTTACATGCTTGTAATTCCAGCTACTTGGGAGGCTGAGGCAGGAGAATCACTTGAACCCAGGAGGTAGAGGTTGCAGTGAGCCGAGATTGCGCCATTGCCCTCTGGCCTGGGAGACAAGAGTGAAACTCCGTCTCAAAAAAAAAAAAAAAGTTTATCCTTTTTCCCTCTGGGCTCCATGCAGGTCCCTTTCCTTCTCCACTTTTGTTCCCAGCAATTTACGGTTTCCTTGATTATCATTTCTCTGATAACTATGTTACCAGAAAGGGCTCCTGATGCACATCCTAAGAGAGGGTTCTTGGATCTCACACAAGAAAGAATTCAGGGTGAGTCACTAGAGTAAGTGAAAGCAAGTTTATTAGGAAAGTAAAGGAAGAAAGGAATGCCTACTTTACAGACAGAGCAGCCCTGAGGGATGCTGGTTGCCCATTTTTATGGTTATTTCTTGATGATATGCTAAACAAGGGGTAAATTATTCATGCCTCCCCTTTTTAGACCATATTGGGTGACTTCCTGACGTTGCCATGGCATTTGTAAACTGTCATGGTGCTGGTGGGAACGTAGCAGTCAGGACACCCAGAGGTCACTCTCGTCGCCATCTTGGTTTTCGTGGGTTTTAACTGGCTCCTTTACTGCAACATGTTTTATCAGCAAGGTCTGTATGACCTGTATCTTGTGCTGACCTCCTATCTCATCCTGTGACTTAGAATGCCTTAACCTTCTGGGAATGCAGCCTAGTAGGTTTCAGCCTCATTTTACCCAGCTTTATTCAAGACGGAGTTGCTGTAGTTCAAATGCCTCTGACAATTATACCCTCTTAGTTATGTGCTTTCTGTTCTCTTGGTTAAGGTTTGTTCGCTTGTTTTTGAGACAGGTTCTCTCTCTCTTGCCCAGGCTGAAGTGCAGTGGCGTGATGTTGGGTCACTGCAAACTCCACCTCTGGGGTTCAAGCTATTCTCCTGCCTCAGCCTCCCGATAAGCTGGGATTACAGGCACCCACCACCAAGCCTGGCTAATTTTTGCATTTTTAGTAGAGACAGGGTTTCACCATGTTTGCCAGGCTGGTCTCGAACTCCTGGCCTCATGTGATCTGGCCGTCTCAGCCTCTCAAAGTGCTGGGATTACAGGCATGAGCCACTGTGCCCAGCTTTGGTTAAGGTTTGAAGGTGTCACAGGGTGAACTCCAGAATTGGGGTTCAGCCTGGGAGACCCCTTGGGTTCCTGGCTTCACAGGAAGGAATTCACAGCCTGGTTAACATGGTGAAATGCCATCTCTACACAAATACATATATTAGGTGGGTGTGGTGGCACATGCCTGTAATCCCAGCTACTCAGGAGGCTGAGGCACAAGAATCACTTGAACCCCGGAGGCAGGGGTTACAATGAGCTGAGATCGCACCACTACACTCCAGCCTGGGCGACAGAGTGAGACTGTCTTAAAAAAATAAATAAGTAGCTGGGAGTGGTGGCTCACTCCTGTAATCCCAACACTTTGGGAGGCTGAGGGGGGGTGGATCACGAGATCAGGAGTTCGAGACCAGCCTGACCAGCATGGTGAAACCTGGTTTTTACTGAAAATACAAAAAATTAGCCGGGCGGGGTGGTGCGTGCCTGTAATTCCAGCTACTTGGGAGGTTGAGGCAGGAGAATTGCTTGAACCCAGGAGGCAAAGGTTGCAGTGAGCTGAGATCGCGCCATTGCACTCTAGCTTGGGCAACAAGGGCGAAACTCCGTCTCAAAAAAATAATAAATAAATAAATAAAAAGTAGCCTCCATAGGCAGAGCAGCCCTGAGGGCTGGTGGGTGGCTCTTTTTATGGTTATTATGGTTATTTCTTTATTATATGCTAAACAAGGAGTGGATTCTTCATGAGTTTTCCAGGAAAGTGGCAGGGAATTCCTGGAACCTAGGGTTCCTCTTTCTTTCAGAGCATATAGGGTAACTTCCAGACATTGCCAGGGTGTTTGTAAACTGTCATTGCACTTGTGGGAGCTTCCTTTAGCATGCTAATGTATTATAATTAGCATATGATAAGCAGTTAGGATGACCAGGGGTCGCTTTCATGGCCATCTTGGTTTGGGTGGGTTTTGACCGGCTTCTTTTACTGTATGTTTTATCAACTGGGTCTTTGTGAGCTGTGTCTTGTGAAACCAGTCCTGCCAAACTCCTGTCTCAAAGGAAGTGCCTTCATTTCATCATCAACATTCTTAAAATTTTTTTCCTTTTTTTTTTTTTTTTTGAGACGGAGTTTCGCTCCTCTTGCCCAGGATGGAGTGCCATGGTGTGATCTTGGCTCACTGCAACCTCTGCCTCGCAGGTTCAAGCGATTCTCCTGCCTCAGCCTCCTGAGTAGCTGGGATTACAGGTGTGCACCACCATACCCGGCTAATTTTTGTATTTTTAGTAGAGATGAGGTTTCACCATGTTGGTCAGGCTGGTCTCGAACACCTGACCTTGTGATCCACCTGCCTTGGCCTCCCAAATTGCTGGGATTACAGGGGTGAGCCACCGTGCCTGGCCATGAACATCTTTTCATATGTTTAAGAGTCATTTGTTTTTACTGTCTGTTCATATCTTTTCCCTATTGTTATTCTGGTTGTTCTGGTTGTTAGCATTTTGTTTTGTTTTGTTTTGTTTTGAGATGGAGTCTCGCACTCTCACCCAGGCTGGAGTGCAGTGGCACCAGCCATCTCGGCTCACTGCAAGCTCCGCCTCCCGGGTTCACACCATTCTCCTGCCTCAGCCTCCCAAGTAGCTGGGACTACAGGCGCCCGCCACCATGCCTGGCTAATTTTTTGTATTTTTAGTAGAGACGGGGTTTCACCGTGTTAGCCAGGATGGTCTTGATCTCCTGACCTTGTGATCCGCCCACCTCAGCCTCTCAAAGTGCTGGGATTACAGGCGTGAGCCACCACGCCAGGCCTTTTTGTTTGTTTTTTTTGAGGCAGAGTCTCACTCTGTCGCCCAGGCTGGAGTGCAGTGGCGAGATCTCTGCTCACTGCAACCTCTGCCTCCCGGGTTCACACCATTCTCCTGCCTCAGTCTCCCGAGTAGCTGGGACTACAGGTGCCCGCCACCATGCCCGGCTAATTTTTTTTATTTTTAGTAGAGACAGGGTTTCACTGTGTTAGCTAGGATGGTCTCGATCTCCTGACCTCGTGATCCACCCGCCTCGGCCTCCCAAAGTGCTGGGGTTATAGGCGTGAGCCACCATGCCCGCCTTAGTTTTTTTATTGATTTAGTTTTCCTTATTGATTTGGAGAAATTATGTATTAAATAAGCTGGCCCCTTGTCCGTACATAAGTGATAAATATTTCCCACATTTTTTATTTGCTTTTGAATTTATTTGTGTTTTGATCATGTTGATGTTTTAATATTTTTATATAATTGTGATGGTTAATTTTAGGTGTTGCCTCTACTGGATTGAGGAATACCTAGAGAACTAGTAAAGCATTGTTTCTGGATGTGTCTGTGAGGATGTTTCCTCACAGTCAGTGGACTGAGAAGGGAAGATTCACTCTCAGTGTGAATGGGCACCATCCAATTGTCTAGGGGCCCAGTAGAACAAAAAAAGAGAGGAAAGGATTTCCTCTTCCTCCTTCCTCACTCCCCTCATCCCCAGAGCTGGGATATTCTCCTCCTCTTGCTCTTGGACATCAGAATTCCAGGCTTTCCAGACTTGGGACTCCAGGGCTTACAATCACCCTCCTGCAGGGTTATCAAGCCTGCAGCCTCAGAGTGAGAACTGTACCATCAGCTCCACTGGTTCTGAGGCTTTTGAACTTGGACTGAACCACAATACTGGCATACTAAGATCTCCAGATTGCAGATGCCCTCTTGTGTCTCCCATAATTACCAGAGCCAATTCTCCTTATTAATCCTCACTCTTATATTTATATCTCTTTGGTATTTTTTTTTTTTTTTGAGATGGAGTCTCACCCTGTCACCCAGGCTGGAGTGCAGTGACAGGATCTTGGCTCACTGCATCTTCCGCCTCCCGGGTTCAAGCTATTTTCCTGACCTCGTGATCCGCCTGCCTCGGCCTCCCAAAGTGGTGAGATTACAGGCACGAGCCACCGCGCCCGGCCGATATTGTTCTATAGTTTTGCAAAATGTTACCTTGGTTGAAACTGAGTAAAGCATACAAGGAATTTCTTTGTATTATTATTATTATTATTATTATTATTGTTATTATTTTGAGGCAGAGACTTGCTCTGTCACCCAGGCTGGAGTGCAATGGTGCCATCACAGCTCACTGCGGCCTTAACCTCCTGGGCTTGGGTGATTCTCCCACCTCAGCCTCTTGAGTAGTTGGGACTACAGGTGTGAGCCACCACACTGGACTGATTTTTATATTTTTTGTAGAGATGGGATTTCACCATGCTGCCCAGGCTGGTCTCAAACTCCTGGGCTCAAGCAATCTGCCTGCTTCGGCCCCTCAAAGTGCTGGGATTACAGGCGTGAGCCACCACACCCAGCCTGTGTTATTTTTTACTACTGCATATGAATCTGCAATTATCTCAATAAAATTTTCAATTAAAAATGCAGGCAATACAGTAGTTTAGAAAGTAAATACTAACAGTCTTCTCTCTCTGTGCCTACTCTAGAGAATTTCATTCCCTAGAGAGAATGTTAACACTATAATATATATTTTTCCAGACTTCTTTCTATACTTCCACATTTTTCTAAACAAAAGTGGGGCTGTGCTATTTATGTATCTCAGTAGCTTATTTCATTCACATAAAAAAAAACCAGACATCTTTCCATAGCATTTAGGGTTGCCAGATACAGCAAATAAAAATACAGCATGCCTATTTAAATTTGAAATGGCTGATCTTTTAGCATAGGTATGTCCCTAATATGTTGCTATTTTATTTAGTAATACTAATGGGAGTAGGCTTACTTAATTCTTTTGATAAATAATTGCATAATATTCCTCTGTATAACATTTTGCCTTTGCCTAATAATGAGGGTGCTCTTTACATCACAGTGTTCATCGTCATTCTCATTAATACAGAGAGTCTCTTATATTTCTTTTTTTTCTTTTTTGAGATGGAGTCTCACTCTGTCACCCCAGCTGGAGTGCAGTGGTGCGATCACAGCTCATGGCAACCTCTGCCTCCCGGGTTCAAGCAGTTCTCCCTCGGCCTCCTGAGTAGCTAGGATTACAGGCGTGCACCACCATGCCTGGCTAATTTTTATATTTTTAGTAGAGACAGGGTTTCACCATGTTGGCCAGGCTGGTCTTTAACTCCTGACCTCATGATCTGCCCACCTCAGCCTCCCAAAGTGCTGGGACTACAGGCATGAGCCACTGGGCGAGACGGAGTCTTGCTCTGTCACTGGGCTGGAGTGCAGTGGCACAATCTCGGCTCATTGCAACCTCTGCCTCCCGAGTTCAAGCAACTCTCCTGCCTCAGCCTCCCGAGTAGCTGGGATTACTGGTGCCCACCACGAGGCCTGGCTAGTTTTGTTTTTTTTTTTTAGTAGAGATTGGGGGTTTTACCATGTTGGCCAGGCTGGTCTCGAACTCCTGACCTCAGGTGATCCACCCACCTCAGCCTCCCAAAGTGCTGGGATTATAGACATGAGCCACCAAGCCTGTCCTAAAACTTTTTTTTTTTTGTGGTCTTCCTCTGTTGCCCAGGCTAGAGTGTGGAGGTGCCATCTCGGCTCACTGCAACCTCCAACCTCCTGGGTTCAAGCAATTCTCATGCCTCAGCCTCCTGAGTAGCTGGGATGACAAGCGTGTGCCACCATGCCTGGCTAATTTTTTGTATTTTAGTAGAGAAAGTGTTTCACCATATTGCCCAGGCTGGTCTTGAACTCCTGAGCTCAGGCAGTCCACCCGCCTTCGCCTCCCAAAGTGCTAGGATTACAGGCGTGAGCCACCACACCTGGCCGGTACCTTAAACTTTAATTATTCTAACTCCTATATTTAATTCAGCGAACACTAAGAACTGCAGTGGAAAAAGCCTTGGCTTTGGATCCCTGGCTCTGCTTCTTACTAGATACCTAACCATCTTTTATTTTTATTTATTTTTTACTTTAATTTAGAGATGGGGGGCTGGGCACAGTGGCTCATGCCTGCGATCCCAGCACTTTGGGAGGCCGAGGTGGGAGGATCACCTGAGGATGGGAGTTCGAGACCAGCCTGACCAACATGGAGAAACCCCGTCTCTACTAAAAATACAAAATTAGCCAGGCGTGGTGGCACATGCCTGTAATCCCAGCTACTAGGGAGGCTGAGGCAGGAGAATCTCTTGAACCTGGTAGGCAGAGGTTACAGTGAGCTGAGATCATGCCATTGCACTCCAGCCTGGGCAACAAGAGTGAAACTCCATCTCAAAAAAGAAAAAAAAAAAAATTAGAGGTGGGGTCTTGCTCTGTCTGTCACCTGGGCTATGGTGCAGTGGCATGATCTTAGCTCACTGCAGCCTTGAACTCCTGGGCTCAAGTAATGCTTCCACCTCAGTCTCCTGAATAGCTGGGACCACAGGTGTACACCACCATATCTGGCTAATACCTCATGTCCTTCGGCCTTAGTTTCCTCATCTGTAAAATGGGAATAGAAATAATTATTTTACAGGATTAGAAATAATGTATTTACAACCCTGTAATCTAGTGTCTAGCAGAGAAGGAAACTTAAGAAATAAATCATTGTTTATTATAGTAATGTTAAGATTCTGTGGTGGGTACTAAGGGATAAACAGAGTTAAGATTCCTGAAATGTTTTGTTACTTTTTTTTTTTTTTTCTGAGACAGTATCTTGCTCTGTTGCTCAGGCTGGAGTGCACTGGTGCCATTTCAGCTTACTGTAACCTCTGCCTCCCAGGCTCAAGCGATTCCCCTACCTCAGCCTCCCAAGTAGCTGGGACTACACTATACCTTGCTTACTTTTTATTTTCATATAATTTTTTTTTTTTGAGGTGGAGTCTTGCTCTGTTGCCCAGGCTGGAATGCAGTGGCTCTCCGCCTCCCCAGTTCAAGCAATTCTCCCGCCTCTGCCTCCCCAGTAGTTGGGATTACAGTCACACATGCCACCACGCCCGGCTAAGTTTTTTTTTTTTTTTGAGATGGAGTCTCGCTCTGTTGCCCAGGCTGGAGTACAGTGGCGCGGTCTCAGCTCACTGCAAGCTCTGCCTCCCAGGTTCATGACATTCTCCTGCCTCAGCTTCCTGAGTAGCTAGGACTACAGGCACCCACTACCACGCCCGGCTAATTTTTTGTATTTTTAGTAGAGACGGGGTTTCACCGTGTTAGCCAGGATGGTCTTGATCTCCTGACCTCGTGATCAGCCCATCTCGGCCTCCCAAAGTGCTGGGATTACAGGGGATTACAGGCGTGAACCATCTCGCCCAGTCTTGATTTTTTTTTTTTCTTTTTTTGAGACAGAGTTTTGCTCTGTCACCAGGCTAGAGTGCAGTGACACGATCTCGGCTCACTGAAACCTCCGCCTCCTGGGTTCAAGCAATTCTCGTGTCTCAGCCTCCCGAGTAGCTGGGACTACAGGCGTGTGCCGCCACATCCAGCTAATTTTTGTATTTTTAGTAGAGATGGGGTTTCACTATGTTGGTCAAGGTGGTCATGAACTCCTGACCTCTGGTGATCCACCCACCTCGGCCTCCCAAAGTGTTGAGATTAACAGGCGTGAGCCACCACTCCCAGCCCGGACTTTCTCTTATATAACCACCTAACAACAGTTCAGTTATCATAATTACAAAATTTAACAAATTCCTGAAGTAGTTTCTGAATTCAAATCCCTAAAGTATTTGTAATAGCTTTTTAAAACTATTTCCTTTTCTAGCAGGACTGTGACCAAAACCCTAATTTTCTATGGCTTCCCACTTGCCCTTGGATTGGATGTAAAATCTGTGCATGGCTTGTTGCCCGAGGCTGGCTAACCTGCAGGCCCACAGAAGGCAAAGGGCTTTGCACTGAGAGGCGCCTTCAGAGACTGGACGCCAGCCTTTTTCTCCCGTTCCACTGATGACTCAGCCACACATGGCACTGAGACTCGTGGCATTCACTCTGCCAACAGAGAAGCACAGCTCTCACCCTGCTTTGGCAGGCCTGGCACACTCCTATGGTGGCCCAGCGTCTGCTCTGGCTTTCTCTGAAATGTAAATCCATTCTTTTCCTGGTCAGCACACCTCCCAGCTCTAGCCTGGCACACAAGGCTCTCTCACTGGGTCCCCTGCTTACCAGCTCTTCCTCTCCTGCCTTTTTCCATCCTGTGCTCCACCCAACTGGCCTTTCTCCACGGTGACTTGTGTTTTCTCGCCCCCTGCTTCTGCACACATATTTTCCCCTGCCTGGGGAATGCTCTTCTTCCCCCGTTGGATTTTTCTATTATTTTCAAGGCCTGGCTCCAGTAGAAAATATTTCAATCACTTCCCTCTGAGCTGGAAACAAGATAGCTACCTGCACTTGTATTTAGCACTTCTATGGGGTCCTTCATTAGTGTTAGCCAACTGTAGTATGGGCCTGTCTATGGGTCTGGTTCCTCTGTCTGTGAGCTCCCTTGGGCAGAAACCATGTCTCATTTCTTCATTTCTCTGGTATTGCCCTGAACAGGGCCTGGCACAGGGTAGACATGGGTGACTGATGAAAGAATGAATAGCACAAATTACCCTGTGAGAGAGGGGCAGGCTTTTGAGTATAGAGATGATGCATGGATGTAGCACATAAATCATTTAAAAGACTGTTGTGGGTTTTATTATTGCTGCTAATGGTGTTATTCTTGGTAGAGATGTTACATTCGGCCAGGTGCTGTGGCACACTGTAATCCCAGCACTTTGGGAGGCCGAGGTGGGTGGATCACCTGAGGTCAGGAGTTCAAAACAAGCCTCGCTAACATGGTGAAACCTCATCTCTACTAAGAATACAAAAAATTAGCCGGGCGTGGTGGTGCGTGCCTGTAGTCCCAGCTACTTGGGAGGCTGAGGCAGGTAAATCGCTTAAACCCAGGTGGTGGAGGTTGCAGTGAGCCAACATTGTGCCACTGCACTCCAGCCTGGGTGACACAGTGAGACTCCATCTCAAAAACAAAACAAAACAAAACAAAAAAAACAAAGAGATGTTAAGAAGTTACATCCCGGCCAGGCATGGTGGCTCATGCCTGTAATCCCAGCACTTTGGGAGGCTGAGATGGGCAGATCACGAGGTCAGAAGTTCTAGACCAGCCTGGCCAATATGGTGAAACCCTATCCCTACTAAAAATACAAAAATTAGCCGCATGGTGGCGCACGCCTTTAGTCCCACCTACTTGGGAGGCTGAGGCAGAAGAATCACTTGAACTGGGGAGGCGGACGTTGCAGTGAGCCCACAGCACTCCAGCCTGGGTGACAGAGCAAGACTCCATCTCGAAAAAAGGAAAAAAAAAAAAAAAAGGATGTTACATCCCAAATGGCCTGACCTACCCAGTCAGGCCATTTTTTTTTTTCTTTTGAGATGGAGTTTTGCTCTTTTTGTCCAGGCTGGAGTGCAATGGCGCGATCTTGGGTCACCGCAACTTCTGCCTCCTGGGTTCAAGTGATTCTCCTGCCTCAGCTTCCCAAGTAGCTAGGATTACAGGCATGCGCCACCATGCCTGGCTAATTTTGTATTTTTAGTAGAGATGGGGTTTCACCGTGTTGGTCAGGCTGGTCTTGACGCCTAACCTCGTGATCCGCCCACCTCTGTCTCCCAAAGTGCTGGGATTACAGGCGTGAGCCTGCACAGCGGACCAGAGATCTTGATGCTCTTCTTGTAACTGTTTTAGGGTACCATGAACTATACCCGTAATTAGACTGCAAACTTAATTGATAAATATTGTGTGTGTTCTGACTGCTTCACTGGCTGATTGTTCCCCGTCTCTTTCCCTCTCCTCAGGCGTTCCTATTCCCTGAGACACAACAATGTTGAAATTAAGCCAATTAATAACCCTACAATGGCCTCTAAGTGTTCAAGTGAAAGGAAGAGTCACACATCTGTCACTTGAAATAAAAATCTAGAAATGATTAAGCTTAGTGAGGAAGGCATGTCCAAAGCTGATAGGCTGAAAGGGAGGCCTCTTGTGCCAAATAATTAGCCAAATTGTGAATGCAAAGGAAAAGTTCTTGAAGAAAATTAAAAGTGCTACTCCACTGAACACATGAGTGATAAGAATGCGAAACAGCCTTACTGCTGATAGATAGTAGTCTGGATAGAAGATCAAACCAGACACAAAATTCCTTGAGCCAAAGCCTAATCCAAAGCAAGGCCACAATTCTCCTCAATTCTGTGAAGGCTAGGAGAGGTGAGGAAACTGCAGAAGAAAATTTGGAAGCTAGCAGAGGTCGGTTCATGAGATTTAAGGTAAGAAGCTGTAGGCTGGGTGCAGTGGCTCACGCCTGTACTCCCAGCACTTTGGGAGGCCGAGGCGGGCAGATCAACTGAGGTCAGGAGTTTGAGACCAGCCCAACCAACATGGAGAAACATCGTCTCTACTAAAAATACAAAATTAGCTGGGCGTGGTGGTGCATGCCTGTAATCCCAGCTACTTGGGAGGCTGAGGCAGGAGAATCACTTGAACCTGGGAGGGCGAGTTTGCGGCGAGTTTGCGGCGAGCCGAGATGGCGCCATTGCACTCCAGCCTGGGCAACAAGAGCGAAACTCCGTCTCAAAAAAAGAAAAAAAGTTGTCTCTGTAATATAAACGTGCGCAGTGAAGCAGCAAGTGCGGATGTAGAAGCTGCAGCAAGTTATACAGAAGATTTGGCTAAGATCATTGATGCAGGTGGCTCCACTGAATAACAAATTTTCAATGTAGAGGAAATAGTTCTAGGTTGGAAGAGGAGCCATCTAGAACTTTCTTAGCTAAAGAGAAGAAGTCAATGCCTAGCTTCAAATCTTCAAAGGACAGGTTGACTCTCTTGTTAGGAGCTAACGCAGCTGGTGACTTGGAGTTGAAGCCAGTGTGCATTTGCCAGTCTGAAAATCCCGGAGCCCTTATGAATTATGCTGAATCTACTCTGCCTATGCTCTATAAATGGAACAACAAAGCCTAGATGACAGTATAACTGTTTATACTAGGGTTTACTGAATATCTTTTTTGTTTGTTTGTTTGTTTTTTTGAGGCAGGGTCTCACTCTGCCACCCATGCTGGAATGCGGTGACGTAATTATAGCTTACAGTAACCTCGAACTCTTGGGCTCCAGTGATCCTCCTGCCTCAGTCTCCTGAAGAGCTGGTATTACCAGCATATGCCGCCACAGCTGGCTAAGGTTTACTGCATACCTTAAGCCCACTTTTGAGACCTACTTCTAAGAAAAAAAGATTCCTTTCAAAATATTAATGCTCATTGATAATGCCCCTAGTCACCCACGAGCTCTGATGGAGATGTACAAGGAAATGAATGTTGTTTGGATGTCTGCTAACATAACATCCATTCTGTAGGCCATAGATCAAGGAATGATTTTGACTGTCAAGTCATTTTATTTACAAAATACATTTTGTGAGGTTACAGATGCCATAGATAGTGATTTTATGCTGGATCTGGGCAAAGTAAAATGGAAGCCTTCTGGAAAGAATTAACTCTTCTAGATGTCATTAAGAACATTTATGGCCGGGCACGGTGGCTCACGCCTGTAATCCCAGCACTTTGGGAGGCCAAGGCAGGCGGATCATGAGGTCAGGAGATCAAGACCATCCTGGCTAACATGGTGAAACCCCATCTCTACTAAAAATACAAAAAAATTAGCCGGGCATGGTGGTGGGCGCCTGTAGTCCCAGCTACTCAGGAGGCTGAGGCAGGAGAATGGCGTGAACCCAGGAGGCGGAGCTTGCAGTGAGCCGAGACCACGCCACTGCACTCCAGCCTGGGTGACAGAGTGAGACTCCATCTCCAAAAAAAAAAAAAAGAACATTTATGATTAATGGGAAGAGGTCACCATATCAACATTAACAGGAGTTGGGAAGAAATTAATTCCAACCCTCATGGATGACTTTGAGGGGTTCAAGACTTCACTCGTGGAAGTAACTGCAGATTTGGTGGAAACAGCAAGAGAACTAGAATTGGAAGTGAAGCCTGAATATGTGACTGAACTGCTGCAATCTCATGATCCAACTTGAATAGATGGGGAGTTTCTTCTTACGGATGAGCAAAGAGAGAGTGCTTTCTTGAGATGGAAGCTCCTCTTGGTGAAGATGCTGTGATCATTGCTGAAATAACAACAAAAGATTTAGAATATTCCATAAACTTTGTTGATAAGGCAGTGGCAAGATTTCAGAGAACTAACTTTGAAGGAAGTCCTGCTGTGGATGAAATGGTATCACACAGCATCACATGCTACAGAGAAATCTTTCATGAAAGGAAGTGTCCATCGATGCAGCATTGTTGTTTTATTTTAGGAAATTGCCACAGCCATCCCAACGTTTAGCAACCACCACCCTGATCAATCAGCAGCATGGAGGCAAGACCCTCCACCAGCAAAAAGATTATGATTTGCTGAAGATTCAGATGACCATGTTAAATTAAGTTTAGCATAAAGCTGCCTCCTTATGCATTTTAAGTTCAGACTAACAATTTATTTCTTTCTCTCTCTCCCTTTCTCTCCCTTCCTTTCCTTTCCCTTCCCTTCCCTTCCCCTCCCTTCCCCTCCCTTCCCCTTCCCTTCCCCTTCTCTTCCTTTCTTTCTTTTCTCTCTCTCTTTCTCTCTTTCTCTTTTTTTGAGACGGAGTCTTGCTCTGTTGCCCAGCCTGGAGTGCAGTGGCACGATCTCTACTCACTGCAACCTCTGCCTCCCAGCAGAGAGAATCAAGAGATTCTCCTGCCTCTACCTCCTGAGTAGCTGGGATTATAGGCTCGCGCCACCAAGCCCGGCTAATTTTTTGTATTTTTAGTAGAGACAGGGTTTCATCATGTTGGTCAGGCTGGTCTCGAACTCCTGACCCCAAATGATCTGCCCCCGCCCCCCCACCAAAGTGCTGGGATTATAGATGTGAGCCTTTGCACCTGGCCTAACAGTTTCTCCATACATAGTGAATTGTAGACAACTACAATTGTAAATGTGTAAAGAGACTGTAACCTTGTAACAAGTAGCGAGTCTCAGTCAATCACAGCAGCGGAGTTTTGGCCAATCACAGGTGGCCAACTGTTTAAACAGTGCTCAAAATAGTCAGAGGTTGAGTTGCAACCAATCCAGCTGTTTCCATACTTGACTGCAATTTCTGTAAGTCATTTTCCTTTTTCTGTCCATAAATGTTATTTGAACATATGGCAGCCCGAATCACTCTGAACCTATTTTGGTTCCAGGGATTACTGGATTTTGGACTCATTCTTTGGTCAATTCAACTCTGTAAAGTTTAATTTGTCTAAAGATTTTCTGGGCCGGATACAGTGGCTCACGCCTGTAATCCCAGCACTTTGGGAGGCTGAGGCGGGAGGATCGCTTGAGCCCAGGAGTTCGAGACCAGCCTGGCCAACATAGCGAGATCCCGTCTCTACCCACAAATAATTTAGCCAGGCGTGGTGGCGCGTGCCTGTAGTCTCAGCTACTGGGGTTCTTATTCCTCGTGGCAACACATTTTGGAGAGGGGGAGGTATTCCTGTCTTTGCTGGGTGGGAGAACGGCCAGTGGGCAAGGGAGGACGAAAATGAGAACTGTGACTGCCAGAGGGCACGTCAATTTTAGGAAGAGAACGTAAGAAAGTTGGGTTCTGTGGAGACTTGGCATATCCACGCCACCTGGAAAATCATCACGTGCCCTCCGGGGCAAGACCAAGGCCTCAAGTCACCCCTCGCAGCCCAGTGGACCTCCCGGCCATCCCTTTCACGGCTCCACAGCGACCGCGAGCCGTTGCCCCGGTGAGAACCCCCCGGCACTGTGCGCGCCCCCGCCTGCCGTGCGCGTCCGCTTCCCTGGGATCCGGCGCCGCGCGCGCCCCCGCCGCGTCCCCGCCCCTTCCGGCCCGGGAGATTTGATTCCCTTGGCGGGCGGAAGCGGCCACAACCCGGCGATCGAAAAGATTCTTAGGAACGCCGTACCAGCCGCGTCTCTCAGGACAGCAGGCCCCTGTCCTTCTGTCGGGCGCCGCTCAGCCGTGCCCTCCGCCCCTCAGGTCAGTTCTCCCGCCTGCCCGCCGCAGTCGCAGTTGATGGCTGGGGTCTGGGCTGTGCGGGGCGCAGCGGCCCAAACCCAGTTTGCTCCTGGCTCTCGGGAGACTGGAGGATTTCATCGGAGCCCCGCGCTTTACCAGCCCTGTTCCCTGGATAAGATATTTGACCTTTCCGACCCGCGGTTTTCTTCTCCGTAAGTGGGGATAATGACCGTGTCTACTTAACAGGGTTATTGAAGAGGTGTTCAGGCTAAGCGTTTGCCACCTAGGAGGCTGCGATAGACGTGAATTCCCATTTCCCGTTTCCAGTTTCCGTGACTCTTCCCCGCGAAAAAAGTTGACAGAAGGGTTTCGAGTTTTTTCTGTTTGTACAACTCAGTTTACTGGGGCAGTGCAATAAAAAAGGAGATGTGTTATCACTACCTTTTCAGAGTCCAAATCCATCCTCTCCTATCATCTCCCCAGAGTAGTGGCTTCAGAGGCTCACACTAAAAGGGGAATTTTTTTTCTTTTTCTTCAAGACGGAGTTTCGCTCTTGTTGCCCAGGCTGGAGTGCAATGGCGCGATCTCGGCTCACCGCAACCTCCGCCTCCCAAGTTCAAGCGATTCTTCTGCCTCAGCCTCCCGAGTAGCTGAGCTTACAGACATCCGCCACCACGCCCGGCTCATTTTTTGTATTTTTAGTAGAGACGGGGTTTCACCACGTTGGCCAGGCTGGTCTCCAGCTCGTGTCCTCAGGTGATCCGCCCGCCTTGGCCTCCCAGAGTGCTGGGATTACAGGCGTGAGCCACCACGCCCGGCCTAAAAGGGGAATTTTCACCGAATGCTGTATCAGTAATAGGAGCAGCAGGATTGCTCCCACCAAGAAACCTGGTGTAGGGTTGTGGGAGCTGGAAAGGGTAGACTCAGGGAAGGCTGCCCAAGAGAGGAATCAGGTCCCTAGCACTTAGGACGGGTAATTACCTTTGGTATTTCTCCTTTGTTAGTGGAATGAGGTGAGTATCAGGAGCCTGGATTGTTGTTTAGAGGCCAGTGTTCCTAACTTTGGTTTAAATTTTGGTTTCTGTTTCCCATGGAGTCTGGCTAGAAAATCAGAAAAATCAGAAAAGCCCTTACTGGGCCTTCGTGGGCTTGTTTCTCCCAAGGGTCTGTCCTTTCTGTGTAACTACTGTGGACCAACTAGATGGGCAGATCAATCCCAATGAGTGCCTCATTGTTGGTGCTCCCAGAAGCCTTTGCAAGGGAGCAGGGCAGGATGCTAATTAAATGTGTTACAGGCCACATTATAAACCATTCTGAGCCCGGCGTGGTGGCTCACGCTTGTAATCCCAGCACTTGGGGAGGCCGAGGTGGGCGGATCACTTGAGGCCAGGAGTTCTAGACCAGCCTGGCCAACATGGCGAAACCCCGTCTCTACTAAAAATACAAAAAAAAAAAAAAAAAAAAAAATTAACCGGGCATGGTGGCGCATGCCTGTAATCCCAGCAACTGGGGAGGCTGAGGCACGAGCATCTCTGGAACCCAGGAGGCGGAGGTTGCGGTGAGCCGAGATCTAGCTACTGCACTCCAGCCTAGGTGACAGAACGAGACCCTGTCTCAAGCAAATAAACAGACAAAACCCAAAAAACCATTCTGTATTCTACTTCCTGTTTGAAATTATCCTCAGCATCAGTGTCTTTCCAAGCTCTGTAGATAAGGTAAATGTATTTATGCGGCAAGTAATAGAATAGCCCAAATAATATTGTTAAAAAATGCCCCCAATTTGTTGCTATCCTTTAAAATTTAACCATAAACGTCTTCTCATTATCCCAATTCCTTGCTCTTCTGAGAAGTTAAAGACCCCAATTATAGGCCGGGCGCGGTGGCTCACGCCTGTAATCCCAGCACTTTGGGAGGCCGAGGCAGATGGATTGTGAGGTCAGGAGTTCAAGACCAGCCTGGCCAAGATGGTGAAACCCCATCTTTACTAAAAATACAAAAAATTAGCCGGGCGTGGTGGCGCACACCTGTAATCCCAGCTACTTGGGAGGCTGAGGCAGAATTGCTTGAACTCAGAGGGCGGAGGTTGCAGTGAGCCGAGATTACGCCACTGCACTCCAGCCTGGGCAAGAGAGCAAGACTCCGTCTCAAAAACAAAAACAAAAACAAAACCCAATTATATATACCCCCAATTCTTCTATTTATTTAGTCAAGCCCAGAAGGGCACTCAGGTGTCTGATTGGGGTCTAATTTCCTTCTTCATTATTCACAGTTGAGAGGCTGTCTTCCGCGTTGACTGATAATATACCTCCTTCAGCAGCTACAAAGTTGGGTTACTCTGTTCTCAAGGCTTTTCTGTATTCTATATTAACAAACTCTAGAGGATAAACAGGGCACATGAGAATATTTAGAACCAGCTCCACATTCACAAAGATTTACAAATCAAGTATAATCTGCTATTAGTGTAGGAGTTTGTAATGTAAGCACCAGTTTTCTCACATTGCAGCAACAACGATATTCCCTTGATTCAGTAGCTATAATCTAGGCCCACATTGGTATTACTCATCCAAAGACATGATGTAATTTGAGAGAAGCGGGTAGATAGAGAAAATGGAAGAAAGAAAGAAAAAAAAAAGTGCATGGCTTCAGTCTTACCTTAGTTGTTAAATAAACAACTTGCCCATCTCTGCTAGTTTTCCAGAGGCCATGACTGGGATGTTTATAACTCTTTTGGGAGAAGTCTATTAAGTTAATTATGACACTCTTAAATCCCTAATCTGGGAAGTGAATTCCAGCATCTTACAAATTGCTTTCTCTTTCTGAGTGACAATTTGAAATAGCCCAGTCCTTTGCATGGAATGTAAACATGTGCATTCAGATTTATAGTCCAGTGTTCCTCCATTTCCATTCTCCTGCTCTCTTTTTTCTTCTGTATCAGGATTCCAAAGATTTCTGAGCCTTAGGTTGACCTCTATACTTTTACTGTTTTTATTGCCTTTTGGAATTTCTTAGTCCTATGGTTCCTGTTTGTTTTTAGGATGAGGTTCCAGTTTATCCCCACATTTGCCCCACTGACAAATGCCCTTTAAAATATTTCTGAATTAGTGTTGCTGTTTAAAGTATTTAATCCTGTGCCTTCAGGTGCCCAGTGAGAATAAATTTGTCCTCTGTGATATCTCCTTGCCTTGAGTAACTTTTTCTACTCCAGTGGAAGCAGAATGTTTCATTTTCTATCAACAGTTTTCCCTCAGTACTGGGACCTGACCTTGCTTCTTCTAATGTTTGCCTACTGTGTTCATGCAGATTTCGTTAGGTTAAATGTTCAACCTACTTATTAAGTTGGGTCCAGTGTGATCTCTTCCTAGGAAATGGCTTAATATTGTTTATTTTATCAGAATGTCGTTTTGCATGTTATCTTTTTGTGTGCTATTTCTGCTTTGATGTTGAAGACTGAACCTTGTTTTTTAAAGCTGATTTAATTTTTTTCTTGAGTGTCGATATTTTTCCTTCTAAAGCTTCTGCTCTAGTTTTCTATTCATTGACCAAATTTTTTTTGTTTGTTTTTGAGCTGGAGTCTCACTCCTGTCGTGCAGGCCAGAGTGCAGTGGCGTGATCGCGGGTCACTGCAACCTCCACCTCCTGGGTTCAAGCGATTCTCCTTCCTCAGCCTCCCTAGCAGCTGGGATTACAGGTGTGCATCACCACGCCCGGCTAATTTTTGTATTTTTAGTAGAGACGGGGTTTCTGCATGTTGGTCAGGCTGGTCTCGAACTCCTGACCTCAGGTGATCCACCTGCCTTGGCCTACCAAAGTGCTAGGATTACAGGCGGGAGCCATTGTGCCCAGCCGTTTTTTACTTGCTGATAATAATTTTCTTTTTCTCTCCAAGTAAAATGATTCATGGAATCAGTGTTTCAGGCATAGAAAAATGATATTTTTAAAATGTCCTTTGTGGCTTTTGGGGTTTTGATAAGTTCATTCAGAATTTTTTCCACCTCAATTTTAAGAAGACTACTCATCATTGTATGAAGGGCCTTCTCTTATTAAGCTCTGTCTTCCTTTATAAGCTCACCACACTTCTGAGGTTGAACTCACACTCTAGGTCTTCCAAATTCATGGCCATTATTAAGGCTTAGTAACATGCTAGTCACTCAGTTCTGGATAAGGGCAGGGTGAAGAACAGAGAATTTGAAGGTAGTTTACGTGGCACCTGCCACTCATCAGTTTGAGGCTTAAACAGGCTTGCTTGGCCAGGGCGATGGCTCACGCCTGTAATCCCAGCACTTTGGGAGGCCAAGGAGGGTGGATCACCTGAGGTCAGGAGTCTGAGACCAGCCTGGCCAACATGGCGAAACCCCATCCCTACTAAAAATACAAAAATTAGCCGGGTATGGTGTTGTTGTTCGCCTGTAGTCCCAGCTACTTGGGAGGCTGAGGCAGGAAAATAGCTTGAACCTGGGAGGCGCAGGTTGCAGTGAGCTGAGATCGCACTACTGCACTGCAGCCTGGGCACCAGAGCAAGACTCCATCTCAAACAAACAAACAAACTAGCCAGGAGTGGTGGCATGTGACTCCTGGCCTCAAGTGATCCACCCACCTCAGCCTGCCAAAGTGCTGGGATTACAGGCGTGAGCCACTGCACCTGGCCTCGACTAGATTTTAATTTTTAATTTTTATTTATTTTTTTGAGACACAGCTTCGCTTGTTACCCAGGCTGGAGTGCAGTGGCATGATCTCGGCTCACCGCAACCTCTGCTTCCCGGGTTCAAGTGATTCTCCTGCCTCAGCCTCCCTAGTAGCTGGGATTACAGGCATGGGCCACCACGCCTGGCTAATTTTTTATATTTTTAGTAGAGACGGGGTTTCTCCATGTTGGTCAGGCTGGTCTTGAACTCCCGACCTCAGGTGATCCGCCTGCCTCAGCCTCCCAAAGTGCCGGGATTACAAGTGTGAGCCACTGCGCCTGGCTGTTTTTTATTTTTAGTAGAGACAAGGTCTTGCTATATTGTCCTGGCTTGTCTTGAACTCCAGGCCTCAAGCAATCCTCCTGCCTTGACCTCCCAAATTGCTGGGATTACAGACATGAGCCACCATGCCCAGCTATCTTTACGCTTCTTCCTTTTGCCACTCCTAGCTGTAGGTTTGGTATGGGGAAGACCTTAGCTATCTATGTTTTCAACATTTCAAATATTTGTCTTTTGCTTTTAAGTCTTTACAACTGTTACTGATTTTGTATGGTGTGAGATAGAGATCCAATGTGTTTTTTTTTTTCCTTCACCTCATGGCTAATCAATTGTCCCAGCTCCAGAGCTGCATTTCCATCACCTGTTACCTCTAAAAGCAGCCTCAGTTCAGTACCTGTCAACTTTTACTTCCTCTAGGATCTTTGCACCTAAATTCCCTCTTTCTGGAATATTCTCCGTCTATTTCTTTGTGGGCTATGACTGTTAAGGCCTACAGACCAAAGACCACATCTGTAGTAAAAATCATTAGATGTATTTAGTTTGCTGCGCAAGAGAAACCATACTCTTGAGAATTTTGGGTAGTCTCAGAGTGAGTTGAAAGGGGCAGAATGAGGGAAGAATGAGGTGGGCCTGAGGATGTCATTGAAGACAATGAAGTCAGTCAAATAAAGGATCTTTATTTTAACAGCCTTGTATGGAAACATTGTTTATATGGTTATGTTCAGATTCTATTGAAACCATTGTTCAAGTTTTGATAGGAATATCACAGTCTGATTACTGGCAGGGCTGATTTTCTCAATTCTCATCCTTTGAATTAGAGCTTGGCTTAAATGTTACCTTCTCAGAAACCACTGTTGCTTATTTTTATTTCAGTATTTAGTATAGATAATAATAATAGTAATTATTATTTTTTGAGACAGAATCTTGCTTTGTCTCCCAGGCTGGAGTGCAGTGGCACGATCTTGGCTCACTGCAACCTCTGCCTCCTGGGTTCAAGCAATTCTCCTGCCTCAGCCTCCCGAGTAGCTGGGATTGCAGGCGCACACCACAAGGCCTGGCTAATTTATTTATATATTTATTTATTTATTTATTTTTGTGAGATGGAATTTCGCTCTTGTTGCCCAGGCTGGAGTGCAGTGGCACGATCTCGGCTCACTGCAACCTCCGTCTCCTGGGTTCAAGCAGTTCTCCTGCCTCAGCCTCCCGAGTAGCTGGGATTAGAGGCATGTGGCACCACACCTGGCTAATTTTGTATTTTTAGTAGAGACGGGGTTTCACCATGTTGGTCAGGCTGGTCTCGAACTCCCGACCTCAGGTGATCTGCCCGTCTTGGCCTCCCAAAGTGCTGGGATTACAGGCATGAGCCACCGCGCCCAGCCTAATTTTTATATTTTTTAGTAGAGACCGGGTTTTACTATGTTGGCCAGGCTGGTCCCGAACTCCTGACCTCGTGATCCGCCCACCCTGGCCTCCCAAAGTGCTGGGATTATAGGCGTGAGCCTCTGCACCCGGCCTATAAATTATAAGTATTAATTTGTTGTCTACTTATTTGCCTTTTGTCTTCTCCACTAGAATATACACTCCATGAGGGCAGAATCATATTTCTTCTCCATTATAGCCCTAGTGCCAAGGGCAGGTTTGGCATATCATAGGTGCTCAGTAAATATCTGTATGAATAAATGAATAAGAGCAAATTCAAGAGTTTTCTAGAACTGCATTAGCAGTTTTTCCAGACACACTGCTGATCTCTAAAAGTCAACCACGAGGTTATTTTCCACAAGTAAGATGGAGATGGTATGAGTGTGACTTTGTATATTAATGTGCATAACAGGGCCCTACTTAGCTCTATGGTTTTTAAAAAATAAACTACTTAATTTTAAAACTCAGGGAGACAAAATCAATAAGATCTACCTAATTTTTTTTACAACTAATTTTTATTTATTATTTGATGTATAATTAACAGTATATGTAACCCACATAAGTTGTGAAGCATAATAATAAAATACATATCATATACATAATAAAATTGTGTATGACTGGGGTCTTAGTTTGGGTTTTCCTGATGACTACTGATAATTTTTTCATGTCTTCTTTTTTTTTTTTTTTTTTTTTTATTTTGAGACAGAATCTCGCTCCGTTGCCCAGGCTGGAGTGCAGTGGCGTGATCTCGGCTCACTGCAACCTCTGCCTCCTGCCTCAGCCTCCCAAGTAGGTGGAACTACAGGCGCGTGCCACCACCCCTGGCTAATTTTTTATAGCTTTAGCAGAGACAGGGTTTTATGATGTTAGCCACAATGGTCTCCATTTCCTGACCTTGTGATCCACCCGCCTCGGCCTCCCAAAGTGTGGGGGTTACAGGCGTGAGCCACCGCACCCGGCCTTTTTTTTTGAGACGGAGTTTCACTCTTGTTGCCCGGGCTGGAGTGCAATGGCACAATCTCAGCTTACTGCAACCTCCGCCTCCCAGGTTCAAGTGATTCTCCTGTCTCACCCTCCCAAGTAGCTGGGATTACAGGCTCCTGCCACCATGCCTGGCTAATTTGTGTATTTTTAGTAGAGACGGGTTTCGTCATGTTGGTCAGGCTGGTCTCGAACCCTGACCTCAGGTGATCTACCCTCCTCAGCCTCCCAAAGTGCTGGGATTACAGGTGTGAGCCACCTTGCCCAGCTTCGTGTCTTTTTTTTTTAAATTATTTTTTCTTCAGGTAGCCTCCCGAGCCAGAGTAGGCTCAGAGACACCCTTTTCCATGTTTTTGTTGGCCATTTGTGTTTCTTTGAGAAATTTTTTTTTTTTTTTTTGAGACAAAGTCTGGCTGTTTCGCCCAGGCTAGAGTGCAATGGCACGATGTCGGCTCACTGCAACCTCCACCTCCCGGGTTCAAGCGATTCTCCTGCATCAGCCTCCCAAGTAGCTGGGATTACAGGTGAATGCCACCCCGCTTGGCTAATGTTTTGTATCTTTAGTAGAGATGGGGTTTCACCATGTTGGCCAGGCTGGTCTCGAACTCATGATCTCGTGATCTGCCTGCCTTGGCCTCCCAAAGTGCTGGGATTACAGGCGTAAGCCACCATGCCCGGCTGAGAAAAGTTTTTTGTATCATTTGCTTATTTTGCTGTTGAGTTTTTCTTATTGTTTTGTCAGAGTTTATGTGTTTCCTGTGTACATCCACTATTATATTTGTTGCAAGTATCTTCTCACATTTATGGTTTTCTTTTTTTGATGGTGTCTTTGGTTGTATAGAAGTGCTTAGTTTTATTTTTATTTTTTTTATAGATGTGGTCTTGCTATGTTGCCCAGGCTGGCCTCGAACTCCTGGGCTCAAGCTGTCCTCCCAAGTGGCTGACAACACACGCACCACTGTGCCCAGCTGAAGTTCTTAATTTTAATGTTGTTTAATATATTAATTTTTTTCATTATTATTATTAGTACTTTATTTAAGTGATCCTCTCCTATCCTGAAATAATGACAATATTCTTTAAAAAGTTTTAAAGGTTTATGTTTCATACTTTTTAAGTCTATCTGGAATTCATTTTTATGTATGGTGTGAGATAAGAATCCTTTTTTTCATATGGCCAATAATCAGTTTTTTCAGTATCATGTAAATGCATAAGACTTATTTAGATTTGCAGTTACAAGAATGGAGGAGATGATCCGGTATTATTTCCTTTATTGATTATGTACTCTCTGTCTTCTAGGTTCTTTTTCTAATTCCAAATAAACTTGCAAGAGGACTATGAAAGATTATGATGAACTTCTCAAATATTATGAATTACATGAAACTATTGGGACAGGTAATTGTTATTTTTTTTTGGAGGCAGTGGATAGATCAACTATTTGAGAGTATAGATTATTTGGGTAGGTGTGAGCTTTTTCGTCTAACCCACACAGTTTTAAAATTCTTCTACCTACTTCAGTAAGAAAAAGTGGAGCAAGCAGAGAGGAGAATAGTAGGAGAAGCCCTGTAGGTTATTGCAAGGACTTTGACTTTTATTCTAAATAATTTATTCTAAATATTTCTTTTATTTCTTTTTTTTTTTGAGACGGAGTCTCACTCTGTCGCCCAGGCTGGATGGAGTGCAGTGGCGCGATCTTGGCTCACTGCAAGCTCTGCCTCCCGGGTTCACGCCATTCTCCTGCCTCAGCCTCCCAAGTAGCTGGGACTACAGGCGCTCGCCATGCCTGGCTAATTTTTTGTATTTTTAGTAGAGACGGGGTTTCACCGTGTTAATCAGGATGGTCTCGATCTCCTGACCTCGTGATCCACCCGCCTCGGCCTCCCAAAGTGCTGGGATTACAGGCATGAGCCACCGCGCCCAGGCTTCTTTTATTTCTTGACTTTTATTCTAAATTAAAGTCATTGGAGAGTTTTGAGTTAAGGGGTAATTTGACCTTTGTTTTTACAGAGTTGCTGTGGCTGCTTGGTAGATAAAAGGTTGGATGAAGGAGGGCAAGAGCAGAGGCAGGGAGATGTTAGCAGACTATTGCGATAATTCAGGTGTTGATGCTAGAGATGATGGTGGTGTGGATGAGGGTGATGTAAAAGCAGTGAAAGGGGTGGGACATTTTACACACACATATGTACACACCTATGTGTGTATGTTTTTATTAAGGTATAACATATAGTAAAATATGCAAAGTGCAATAATCTCAGTGGAGTTTTACACATATATATGTATACACATACCCATATATTCCCTGTGCGGATCAAGACATAGACCGTTTCCAGGGAGTATCTGCCTGCTTTCCCCCAAGGTAGCCATTGATATATTTTGAGGACAGAGCTAATGGGATTTATTGATGGGTTGGAGTGCTAGAGAAAGAGAAGGGCTAAGGATGGTTCCAGGGTTTTTGGCCTGAGCACCAGGGAAAATGGAGTTGCCCTTTGTTGAAAGGAAGAAGACCATGGGAGAGACTACTAGGAAGTTCTTTTTGGAAATGTTAATTTGGGGATTTCTTTTAGCTGCCTGAGTGGAGACATTTGTCCAGCTTTTGGTTCAGTTTTGAAAAATAATTGCTTATCTTCAAAGTTTTTTTTTTTTTTTGGAGATGGAGTCTTGCTCTGTCGCCCAGGCTGGAGTGCAGTGGTGCGATCTCGGGTCACTGCAAGCTCCACCTCCTGGGTTCATGCCATTCTCCTGCCTCAGCCTCCCGAGTAGCTGGGACTACAGGTGCCCGCCACCATGCCAGGCTAATTTTTTGCATTTTTAGTAGAGACGGAGTTTCACTGTGTTAGCCAGGATGGTCTCGATCTCCTGACCTTGTGATCCGCCCGCCTCGGTCTCCCAAAGTGCTGGGATTACAGGCGTGAGCCACCGCGCCCGGCCTCAAATATTTAAAACTGAGTGGAAGTTTCATATAATTTGTCTTTGGCCTCAGCAACTTTATATTGTGTTCTAGCAGTGTTAATTATAAAGGAAATTTAATTGCAGGATTATTCATAAAGCAGATTTCTAAAGTGAGTTCTGTTTTTTTTTTATTACAAAGTTTGAGATACACTATCATGGTTAAAAAAAAAAAAACCTTCAGCTAGACATTGGATAACAAGCAGCAACAGGAAAAAAAAGCCACAAACTTCTAGGAAAATTTGGCTTGATAGAGTCTTTTAAAATTATTATATATAAAAAGGTGTTTGTGCCTGAGTCCTTGCTTATGCTTTCATAATACATTTTCCTACTTAGGTGGCTTTGCAAAGGTCAAACTTGCCTGCCATATCCTTACTGGAGAGATGGTAGCTATAAAAATCATGGATAAAAACACACTAGGGGTAAGTTTAGATTTATTTAAAAAATAGTCCACTTATAGATCAGTTTCGTGAATTAAAACCTGAATTGTTCTAATGTTCTAGTTACTGCTCTTAGAATAATATTTTTATACCTTTTAAAAAACGTATAGATCTGTGGTTTTAAAAAGTAATCTGGGGGAAGGGATTACTTTGTTCTTCAGATTTTAACGCAGTGCAGTGGGACATATTTGAAGTCTGTAGCATCCATCTGCAGTCTGTAGTCTGTAGGTGTTTCTGGATATTAATGTGTCCCATCTTTCTTTTCTTTTCTTTATTATTTTTTATTTTTTTTTGAGACGGAGTCTCGCTCTGTCGCCCAGGCTGGAGTACAGTGGCGCGATCTCGGCTCACTGCAAGCTCCGCCTCCCGGGTTCACGCCATTCTCCTGCCTCAGCCTCCCGAGTTGCTGGGACTACAGGCGCCCGCCACTACGCCCGGCTAATTTTTTGTATTTTTAGTAGAGACGGGGTTTCATCGTGTTAGCCAGGATGGTCTCAATCTCCTGACCCCGTGATCTGCCCGCCTCGGCCTCCCAAAGTGCTGGGATTACAGTCGTGAGCCACCGCGCCCGGCCTCTTTTCTTTTCTTTACTTTTTTTTTTTTTTGAGACGGAGTTTTGCTCTGTCGCACAGGCTGGAGTGCAGTGGCGCGATCTTGGCTCACGGCGACCTCCGCCTCCCAGGTTCACGCCATTCTCCTGCCTCAGCCTCCTGAGTAGCTGGGACTACAGGTGCCCGCCACCATGCCTGGCTAATTTTTTTGTATTTTTTTTTTTTTTTTTTTTAGTAGGGATGGGATTTCACTATGTTAGCCAGGATGGTCTCGATCTCCAGACCTCGTGAACCGCGTGCCTCGACCTCCCAAAGTGCTGGGATTACAGGCGTGAGGCACCGCGCCCGGCCCCATCTTTATTTTCTTATGATACTCTTACTAAATATAAATCATTTTGGTACTATAGATAGGCAAATAGATAAATATTATGTCCTAGCTTTTTTTTTTTTTTTTTTGAGACAGTCTCACTTTGTTGCCCAGGCTGGAGTGCAGTTGCACAATCACAGCTCACTGCAGCCTGTACCTGCTGGGCTTAAGTGATCCTCCCACCTCAGCCTCCTGAGTGGGTGTGACCAGAGGCACATGCCACTATGCTTGCCTAATTTTTAAACATTTTTCTAGAAACAAGGTCTTACTCTGTTGCCCAGGGTGGTCTCAAACTCCTGGCCTCAAGCAGTCTTCCCATCTCAGCTTCCCAAAGTACAGGGTATGTAGGGGTGAGCCACTGTACTTGGCCTGTCCCAGCATTTTATTCAAAATGGCTTTAGAAGTTATCTAATTAAATCCTTTTCCAAATCAGCCTCTTTTTCCTCTATGTGAATTCTTCCAGGGGGAACAGCTTGTTATCTCCTAAAGCAGCCCATTCAGTTTGTGGTCTTGGCTACAATGTATAAAAAGTTATTTTTATGTTGAGATAAAGCCTGTCTCTTTTGGTGGTTTTTCTGGGGCTTCTGTACCCATTCCAGTGTTTGAAGTCACCTTGAGTCATCTTTTTTTTCTAATTCCTTCTACCATTCTTTGTTTTTTTTTTTTTTTTTTTTTTTGAGATGGAGTCTTGCTCTGTCACCAGGCTGGAATGCAGTGGTGCGATCTCGGCTCACTGCGACCTCTGCCTCCTGGGTTCAAATGATTCTCCTGCCTCAGCCACCTGAGTAGCTGGTACTACAGGCGTGTGCCACCATGTCCAGCTAATTTTTGTATTTTCAGTAGAGACAGGATTTCATCATGTTGGTCAGGCTGGTCTCGAACTCCTGACCTCAAGTGATGCACCCACCTCGGCCTCCTAAAGTGCTGGGATTACAGGTGTGAGCTACCACTCCCAGCCTAACATTTTGTAATTGTCCTTAATTATCAAACATAAAAAATAATTTTTGGTTGGGTGTGGTGGCTCATCCCTGTAATTCCAGCACTTTGGGAAGCTGAGGCCAGAGGATTGCTTGAGGCCAGGAGTTCGAGACTAGCCTGGGCAATATGGCAAGTCTTGTCCCTACAAAAAATAAAAAAAATTTAGCCAGGTGTGGTTGTGCATGCCTGTAGTCCCAGCTACTTGGGAGGTGGTGGTGGGAGGGTCCCTTGAGCCTAGGAGGTTGAGGCTACAGTGAGCTGTGATTGCACCACTGCACTCTAGCCTGGGCAACAGAGCAAGATCTTGTCTAAAAAAAGTTTTTTTTTGATGTTTTTATTGTTGGAATGAGATAGGGCTTAATATTAATTGTTACCTACTTTTTTAATTGTTAAAGATATAAGTTCTGATTAACACATAAATAAGTCAAAGGGAGCCAGGCACTGTGGCTCACACCTGTAATCCCAGAACTTTGGGAGAACAAGGTGGGTGGATTGCCTGAGCTCAGGAGTTTGAGACCAGCCTGGGCAACAAGGTGAAAGCCCTTCTCTACGAAAAATACAAAAAATTTCGCTGGACATGGTGGTACACACCTGTAGTCCCAGCTACTTGCGGGGCTGAGGTGGGAAGATCACTTGAGTCTGGGAGGTTGGGCTGCAGTGAGCCGAGATGGTGCCGCTGCACTCCAGACTGGATGACAGAACAAGACCCTGTCTCCAGAAAAAAAAAAAAAAAGTCAAAGAGTATGTAAGTAGTTTTGTTACAGCAATGTCATTAAATCATTTGAATTTCTTCCTAAATATATGCTAAAATCATACAATGACCAGTATAAGAAATTATTTTTAATTATCTGTCAGTGGACAATTCAGGCTTTCCTCCAGTTTTTTTGTTTTATTCAATTTTTTGTTTTCTATTTATTAATCTAAGAAAAAAGCATTAAAACCATTTTTCTTGAGCATTTAAACATGAGTATCAATTAGATTAATTCCCTTAAGCAGTTTAAATTTCAGTTATAACTTTAGTATGACTTACTTTAACACTTCAAATACTTAAATAGCAAACAAAATGTTATTACAAAATGTGTTATCACACTGATGCTCAAAACTTATTCTAAAGCGTAATATGACATTAATTCATGATTTCTAAACTTGTTTTTATATTTTCTGTTGTTATTATGCTCATTTTAGTTATTTTCTAGGATTTTAATAATATTTTGATTACTTCCATGGTTTTATTTATTTATTTATTTATTTTTGAGATGGAGTCTTGCTCTGTCACCCAGGCTGGAGTGCAGTGGCACGATCTCGGCTCACTGCAAGCTCTGCCTCCCAGGTTCACGCCATTCTCCTGCCTCAGCCTCCAGAGTAGCTGGGACCACCACGCCCAGCTAATTTTTTTGTATTTTTAGTAGAGACGGGTTTTCACCGTGTTAGCCAGGATGGTCTCGATCTCCTGACCTCTTGGTCCGTCTGCCTCAGCCTCTCAAAGTGCTGGGATTACAGGTGTGAGCCACCACGCCTGGCCGATTACTTCCATGGTTTTAGTCATCAGGCTTCCTCCCCACAAAGAAAGAAGATTATCATACCAAGATAGTGAAAGTTACAGTTGATTCTTTGTCAAGACATGATATCTAGTTGCATAGTCCTGGATAACTGGGTCCTGAGACACTGGCCATTAAGACGGAGTCCCTTTTTATTTTATTTGTTTTTCAAGATGGAGTCTTGCTTTGTCACCCAGGCTGGAGTGCAGGGGTGTGATCTCAGCTCACTGCAACCTCTGCCTCCTGGGTTCGAGCAATTCTCCTGCCTCAGCCTCCCATGTAGTTGGGATTACAGGTGCCTGCCACCATGCCTGGCTAATTTTTGTATTTTTAGTAGAGACGGGATTTTACCATTTTGGCCAGGCTTGTCTTGAACTCCTGACCTCGTGATCCGCCTGCCTCGGCCTCCCAAAGTGCTGGGATTACAGGCATGAGCCACTGTAGAGCCCCCCCGCCTTTTTTTTTCTGATACGGAGTTTCGCTCTTGTTGCCCAGGCTGGAGTGCAATGGCAACCTCCGCCTCCTGGGTTCAAGCGATTCTCCTGCCTCAGCCTCCTGAGTAGCTGGGATTACAGGCATGTGCCACCACGCCCAGCTAATTTTGTATTTTTTTTTTTTTTAATTTTTTCGATACAGAGTCTCGCTGTGTCCCCAGGCTGGAGTGCAGTGGCACGATCTCGGCCACTCCCAGGTTCAAGTGATTCTCCTTGCTTCAGCCTTTCAAGTAGCTGGGATTACAGGCACCCGCCACCATGCCTGGCTAATTTTTTCGTGTGTGTTTTTATTAGAGATGGGTTTTCACCATGTTGGCCAGGCTGATCTTGAACTCCTGACCTCGCGATCTGCCCGCCTCAGCCTCTCAAAAGTGCTGCAATTACAGGTGTGAGCCACCACACCCAATCAGAGTCCTTTTTTTTTTGAGATGGAGTTTTGCTCTTGTTTCCCAGGCTGGATCGATCTCGGCTCACCGCAACTTCCACCTCCAGGGTTCAAGCAATTCTCCTGCCTCAGCCTCCAGAGTAGCTGGGATTACAGACATGCGCCACCATGCCCGGCTAATTTTGTATTTTTAATTTTGTGTTTTTAGTAGAGACGGGCTTTCTCCATGTTGGCCAGGATGGTCCTGAACTCCTGACCTCAGTTGATCTGCCCACCTTGGCCTCCCAAAGTGCTGGGATTACAGGCATGAGCCACCGCGCCTGGCCCAGAGTCCCTCCCTTTTTTTTTTTTTTGAGACGGAGTTTCGCTCTTGTTGCCCAGGCTGGAGTGCAGTGGCATGATCTCGGCTCACCGCAACCTCCACCTCCTGGGTTCAAGCAATTCTCCTGCCTCAGCCTCCCGAGTAGCTGGGATTACAGCCATGCGGCACCATGCCTGGCTAATTTTATATTTTTAGTAGAGATGGGGTTTCTCCATGTTGGTCAGGCTGGTCTCAAAGTCCCAACCTCAGGTAGTCCGCCCACCTTAGCCTCCCAAAGTGCTGGGATTATACGCGTGATCCACTGCGCCCTGCCTCAGGGTCCCTTTTTATAATGAAGTTTTACTTGTTACTTGATGATATCTCTAGGCTTCTGTCCTTTAAAGTTTTTTCAGCTTGGCTTATCTTCCTCTCCCCACCCAACTTTTTATTTTGAAAGTTTCAAGACCTCAGAAAAGATTGGAGACTGAGACAGTGAATACCCATATACCTTTCACCTAAGTTCACTGGTTTTTTGCTCAGCATGCTTCTTAAACGGTGTTGCTGAGGCTGAAAGTGGTAGCTCAGGCATGATGACTGAGTAGTGTTTCTGTCATTTTCCTTGTTTGGAATGCTAACCTTCTAAGGAGTCTGAGATTGTTTTCTGGATGTTGTACTGTTGACCCACATTGAACCTGTCTTTCATAAAATCTCCAATGCCCTTTTTATGCACATGCAAATAAATTTTGCTATATTTTTCTGTAGTGTTGAACAGTTTTTGGGGGGCTTTTTGATAGCTTTTGCTACTTAGTATTTTTTTTTTTTGAAACAGAGTCTTGCTCTGTTGCCCAGGCGGGAGTGCAGTGGCGCAATCTCGGCTCACTCCAAGCTCCGCCTCCCGGATTCACGCCATTCTCCTGCCTCAGCCTGCTGAGTAGCTGGGACTACAGGCTCCTGCCACCACGCCCGGCTAATTTTTTTGTAGTTTTAGTGAGACAGGGTTTCATCGTGTTAGCCAGGATGGTCTCGATTTCCTGACCTCATGATCCGCCCGCCTCGGCCTCCCAAAGTGCGGGATTACAGGTGTGAGCCACCGTGCCCGGCCAGCTACTTAGTATTAAAGCTGTTAGTATTGGAGCTTGGAACACCACCTGAATAAGTTTATTGCTCATTCCATATGATGTTTTGTCACAGAGTGATTTGCCCCGGATCAAAACGGAGATTGAGGCCTTGAAGAACCTGAGACATCAGCATATATGTCAACTCTACCATGTGCTAGAGACAGCCAACAAAATATTCATGGTTCTTGAGGTTAGTAGTATGTTCCAGATACCTGAAAACATTTGATCACTTTATCAATAGTAAAAGAGAAAAGTACATTTCACCTGAAAGATTAGAAGAGATGTTAAGCGACTTACCTGTTTTGTTCCATTTGTAACAATTTAGATTAAATAGATGTATATAATAAGTTGGAGATTCAATGTAAATGTCATTTTTCTAATACACCCCTAATGGGGTAGTATGGTTTACTAGATAGAATATGTTAGAATTTTCTCCTAGAGGGAAGGACTCATTCTAGTTTTTTTTTTTTTTTTTTTGAGACGGAATTTCGCTCTGTCGCTCAGGCTGAAGTGCAGTGATGCCATCTCTGCTCACTGCACCCTCCACCTCCCGAGTTCACGCCATTCTCCTGCCTCAGCCTCCTGAGTAGCTGGGACTACAGGCGCCCACCACCATGCCCGGCTAATTTTTTATATTTTTAGTAGAGACGGGGTTTCACGTGTTAGCCAGGATGGTCTCAATCTCCTGACCTTGTGATCTGCCCTCCTCGGCCTCCCAGAGTGCTGGGATTACAGACGTGAGCCACCGTGCCCAGCCTCATTCTAGTTTTATATGGTATATTAATTTCCTAGGGCTGTTGGAACAAATTACTACAGACTTGGTGGCTTAAAGCAACAGAAACTCATTGTCTGACAGTTCTGGAGGTTTGAAGTCTGAAATCAAAATGTTGGCAAGGCTGGTTCCTTCTGGAGGTTCTGAGAGGGAATCTGTTTCCTGCCTCTTTGCTAGTTGTTGGTAGTTGCTGGCAGTCCTTGGCACTCCTTGGTTTATAGATGCACCACTCCCATCTTGGCCTCCGTCTTCAAATGGTGTTTTCCTCTCTGTGTAGCTGTGTCTCTGTCCAAATGTCTCTCTTCTTAAAAGGACCCAAGGTTTAGGCTTACCCTGATCCAGTGACAGTTCAACCCCCAGCACTGGGTAGCTTCCAGTGTCTTTTATGTAAACCAAGCAATTTCAAGTTTTAACTTGCCATTTTTGTCTTGAAAGATGTCTTTAGAACTTGTATTATTCAACTTCTTTAGTTTTCGTTAGTCTCAGCCAAATAATATGTAATTTGCACATGATTTTCACAGGATAGCACTGTTTTAAAAGCATATTTTAAAAATCATAATTTTGGCCGGGTCCTCTCATGCCTATAATCCCAGCACTTTGGGAGGCTGAGGCGGGAGGATCATTTGAAACCAGTGGTTTAAAACCAGCCTCAGTAACATAGCAAGACCCTGTCTCTACATACAAAAGAAAAAAGAAAAAAAAAAGCCGGGTGTGATGGCGCGTGGTGCGCACCTGTCATTCCAGCTCCTCAGGAGGCTGAGGCGGGAGAATTGCTTGAGTCCAGGAGTTTGAAGCTGCAGTGAGCCACGTTAATGGCACTGTACTCCAGCCTGGGTGACAGAACAAACCCCTGTCTCTAAAAAATAAAAACAAAAAAATTATAACGTTGAATGTTTTGGATCTAGAGCTATTGTATAGTAGTACATTGTATTACTACACTGTAGATCTACCTACATGGTCCACATTTTAAAACCTCTTTGATTTTAAAACCTCTTTGGTAATTTTAAAACCTCTTTATATTTTTAGGTGATCCCTTTGTTCAAATAAAATTCTTAGGGCCAGGCGCAGGGGGTCACGCTTGTAACTGCAGCACTTTGGGAGGCCAAGGCTGGTGGATTATTTGAGGCCAGGAGTTCAAGACTAGCCTGGGCAACATGGGAAAACCGCATTTCTACAAAAAATACAAAAACTTAGCCAGTTGTGGTGGTGCATGCCTATAGTCCCAGCTACCTGGGAGGCTGAGGTAGGAGGATCACTTGAGCCTGGGAGGCAGAGCTTGCAGTGAGCTGAGATCATGCCACTGCACTCCAGCCTGGGTGACAGAGCGAGACTCTGTCTCAAAAAAGAAAAAGAATTGTTAAAATCTCCCAAGCATCCATGAACCTAGGAGAAAATTTAAAAGGTACAAGAGAGTGGCCGGGTGCAGTGTCTCGTGCCTGTAATCCCAGCACTTTGGGAGGCCAAGGTGGGAAGATCACTTGAGCTAAGGAGTTCGGGACTAGCTTGAGCAACATAGTGAGACCTTGTTTTTACTTAAATAAAAAAAGAAAAAAAGGCTGGGTATGGTGGTGCACACCTGTAGTCCCAGCTACTTGGGAGGCTCAGGTGAGGAGCCTGGGAGATATAGGCTACAGTGAGCTATGATTGCACCACTGCACTCCAGCCTTGGCAACAGAGTGAGACCCTGTCTCAAAAAAAAAAGGTACAGGGAGTATATATTAAAAAACAAAATCCTCTCTTTCCCCTACATCCCAGTCATCCAATATTCTTTAATTTTTAAATTTTATTATATTGTTAATAGAAATGGGGGTCTTGGCCTGTTGCCCAAGCTGGTCTTGGACTCCTGGCCTTAAGCGATCTTCCCTCCTTGGCCTCCCAAAATGTTGGGATTACAGGCGTGAGCAACTATGCCCCACCCTAGTCATCACATTTCTTTTCTTTTTTTTTTTTTTTTTTTTGAGACGGAGTCTCACACTGTCTTGAGTGCTGGAGTGCAATGGCGTAACCTTGGCTCACTACAACCTCCGCCTCCCGGGTTCAAGTGATTTTCCTGCCCCAGCCTCCTGAGTAGCTGGGATTGTAGGCACGTGCCATCACCCCCGGTTAATTTTTGTATTTTTTAGTAGAGACGGAGTTTTACCATGTTGGCCAGGCTGGTCTCAAACTTCTGACCTCAGGCAATTTGCCCACTTCAGCCTCCCAAAGTGCTCGGGATTACAGGAGTGAGCCACCGCGCCCGGCCCTCAAATTTTCTTTTCTCTGAGCCATTCATGTACTTTTCTTGTGTCTCTTGTAGATACCTACATATATTTTATACGTATGTGTATTTTATATGTGTGTGTGTGTAGCTTACACACACATGGTGTGACACAAATGGTCACAAATTATTACTTTGCACCTTGTTTTTTTCCCAGGTAACAATTGATCTTAGAGACCATCTGAGCACATTCAGATATTTTAGACATTTTTATTTCTCTTTATTTTGTATTTCTTTATTTGAAAATATGAAGTAGGCTGTTTTCTTTTTGTAAAACTTACTGTATAACATTAAAACATTTCCTATTGAGGTATAAATTTACATATAATAAAATGTACACATTAGGTATGCAGTTTGACAAATGTATATACCCATGTACCTCCCACCCCAAAGTATAAAACATCTCTATCACCTCAGAAAGTTTTCTCCAGCCCTTTTGAAGTTTTCCCTGTAACCATAGCCACCCTGCCCTTACCAGCAACTGCTCATCTGATTTCTATCACAGCAGATCAGTTTAATCTATTCTAGACTATGATGTAAATGACTCATACAGTATTCTTTTGCTTATTCTTTTGTTAGGCTTCTTTTGCTCAGCATAATACTTTTGTAAGCCACTATATCAATCTATAGTCTTAATAACTTAGTACTGGACATTGTTTCATATCAGTTTGTAAAGAGCTTCCTCTTTTTTTTTTTTTTTTTTAATTATTGCCTAGAATTCCATTCCGTGTCATAGTTTATATAGTATCAGCATTTAGGTCTGAATGCTGTTATTCCCCACAAATTCGTATGTTGAAACTTAATCCCCAGTGTGATAGTATTAAGAGGTGGGGCCCTTTAAGGAGGTGATTAGGTTATGAGGGCAGAGCCCTTATGAATGGGATTAGTGCCTTTATACAGGAGGCTTTAGGGAGCCTGTTTGCTCCCTTCCACCATATGAGAATACATAGCACATGCCAACTGTGAGCAACAGAACCTCACTAGACACTGAATCTAGTGGCACCTTGATGTTAGACTTCCCGGCCTCCAGAAATGTGAGCAATACATTTCTGTTGTTTATAAATTACCCAGCGTAAGGTATTTTGTTATAGCAGCCCAAATGGACTAAGACAGTTGTTTCTAGTCTTTTGCTTTTACAAACACTGCTGCTGCAGTAAATGATCTTTAAGGTACGTTTTTTGTTGTTGTTGTTGTTGTTGCTGTTGTTGTTTGTTTTTTGAGACGAAGTCTCACTTTGTCACCCAGGCTGGAGTGCAGTGGTGCAATCTTGGCTCACTGCAACCTCTGCCTCCCGGGTTCAAGCGATTCTCCTGCCTCAGTCTCCTGAGTAGCTGGGATTACAGGCGCCCGCCACCACGCCTGGCTAATTTTTTGTATTTTTAGTAGAGACGGGTTGGCCAGGCTGGTCTCGAACTCCTGATCCACCCACCTCGGCCTCCCAAAGTGCTGGGATTACAGGCCTGAGCCACGGCGCCTGGCCAAAGTACTGTTTTTTGATATGAGTGAGTACATCTATAAGAGCAGTAACTAAATGTGGAACTGTGAGGTCAAGTCTATATGCATTTGTAATTTTAATTGATATTGCTAAAATGGAAACCCAGCTCACAGAAAAGTGGAGAAAGTTTTCTGTGCCCTGGGAAAGGGATGGAAAGCCTTGAGCTTTGTGCTCTGGTACCTGTTCTGCAGCCTCTGAGATACCTCTGTAGACCTGGGCTCCTTCTGGTACAGATTGAAAACCACTGGTCTTTGGGATAGAGAAACAATAATTACTGCTGGCTTTTTAAATTTCAGGTAATTACACTGAATGAGAGTACATTAAGATGAGAATGGCTTTTAATACTTTGCTATAAAAATATAAAACCCTGGGTGAGCTTTTTAAAATCACAGTGGTAGTTGGTTTTACTTCTACTTACTGGTAATAAAACTGTTCGAAGAAAGAGTTATTGTTCTCATTCCTGGAGTCATTATTGACTTGTTTGATCCTGAGAGTGTACTTTTGAATATACCTTACTCGGTTCCATTCCCTATAAAGTCGAATTAATAATATCTCTGAGTTAAGTGTACTTTTTTATTTTAAATTTCTGTGAAGTGATTTTTTAAGTTGTAACAATATCTGTGATTCCATTGCTGTTGAAGTACTGCCCTGGAGGAGAGCTGTTTGACTATATAATTTCCCAGGATCGCCTGTCAGAAGAGGAGACCCGGGTTGTCTTCCGTCAGATAGTATCTGCTGTTGCTTATGTGCACAGCCAGGGCTATGCTCACAGGGACCTCAAGCCAGTAAGTGACTGCATCACAGTTAGATGCTCACCTTCAGCGTCATTTACCTGTTATTTTTAGGTTTACAAATGATCTGATTAGGAATCTATCTTTGGTTTGCTTTTTGTTGTTGTTGCTCCAGTCATACCTATCAGATTTCTTTTTTCCTCTTACTTTTTTTTTTTTTTTTTTTGGAGGTGGTGTCTCACTCTGTCACCCAGGCTATAGTGCAGTGGTGTGATCTCGGCTCACTGCGACCTCCGCCTCCCGGATTCAAGCAGTTCCCCTGCCTCAGCCTTCTGAGTAGCTGAGATTACAGGCACAGGGCACCATGTCCGGCTAATTTTTTTATTTTTAGTAGAGATGGGGTTTCACCATGTTGGTCAGTCTGGTCATTTTTTTGGAGACGGAGTCTCACTCCGTCGCCCAGGCTGGAGTGCAGTGGCGCGATCTCGGCTCACTGCAAGCTCCGCCTCCTGGGTTCACGCCATTCTCCTGCCTCAGCCTCCCGAGTGGCTGGGACTACAGGCGCCTGCCACAACACCCGGCTAATTTTTTGTATTTTTTAGTAGAAACAGGGTTTCACTGTGTTAGCCAGGATGGTCTCAATCTCCTGACCTTGTGATCTGCCCACCTCGGCCTCCCAAATTGCTGGGATTACAGGTGTGATCCACCGCGCCCGGCCAGGCCAGTCTGGTCTTGAACTCCTGACCTCAAGCTATTCTTTCGCCCTGGCCTCCCAAAGTGCTGGGATTACAGGTATGAGCCACCGCTCCTGGCCTTGGTAGGCTTTTTGGATGCATTTATGAGCATTCTGTGTATCTGTCAATTGTGTGTGACTTTATAAATGTCTTGTTTTTTTTTTTTTTTTTTTAAGCAAGATCTCACTCTGTCACCCAGGCTGGAGTGCAGTGGCATGATCAGGGCTCACTGTAGCCTCAACCTCCTAGGCTCAAGTGATTTTCCCACCTCAGCCTCCCAAGTAGCTGGGACTACAGGCGTATGCCACCATGCCTGGCTAATTTTCTGTATTTTTATTTTATATATGTATGTATGTATTTATTTATTTTTATTTTTATTTTTGAGACTGAGCCTTGCTCTGTTATCCAGGCTGAAGTGCAGTGGCGCAATCTTGGCTCACTGCAACCTCTGCCTCTCAGGTTAAGGTGATCCTCTTGCCTTAGCCTCCTGAGTAGCTGGAATTACAGGTGCCTGCCACCACTCTCGGCTAATTTTTGTATTTTTAGTAGGCCTGGGGTTTTGCCATGTTGGCCAGGCTGGTTTCAAACTCCTGACTTCAAGTGATGCGCCTGCCTTGGCCTTCCAAAGTGCTGGGATTACAGGCGTGAGCCAGGGTACCTGGCCGGAAACTATCTTTTTCCATCTGTTTATACTGAACTCGTCGATTTCAACTCACTCTTTTGGTTTAAATTTGCTTTTGGCACAAATTGTGTTTGCTTGTAGTTGACTCTCAGAACACCAAGGAGAAAATAGGAGAAAATGGTTTATGCTAGTGAGTCTTATGGGGAAGTGATAGAGTGATCGCCCAGGCTGGAGTGCAGTGGTGCGATCTCCGCTCACTGCAAGTTCTGCCTCCCGTGTTCACGCCATTCTCCTGCCTCAGCCTCCTGAGTAGCTGGGACTACAGGCGCCTGCCACCACGCCCGGCTAATTTTTTTTGTATTTTTAGTAGAGACGGGGTTTCACCGTGTTAGCCAGGATGGTCTTGATCTCCTGACCTCGTGATCCACCCGCCTAGGCCTCCCAAAGTGCTGGGATTACAGGCGTGAGCCACTGCGCCCGGCCCTTTTTGTTTTTTTTGTTTTTTTTGTTTTTTTTGTTTTTTTTTTTTTGAGATGGAGTTTCGCTCTTGTTGCCCAGGCTGGAGTGCAATGGCACTGTCTCGGCTCACCCCAACCCCCGCCTCCCGGGCTCAAGCAGTTCTTTTGCCTCAACCTCCCAAGTAGCTGGGATTACAGGTATGCGCCACCATGCTCAGCTAATTTTGTATTTTTAGTAGAGACGGGGTTTCTCCATGTTGGTCAGGCTGGTCTCGAACTCCTGACCTCAGGTGATGTGCCTGCCTCAGCCTCCCAAAGTGCTGGGATTACAGGCGTGAGCCATTGTGCCCAGCCCTTCTTTTCCCTTATATACTTCTTGTCATTTCGTTAGTTTCTAGTCATTTTCAGTTTGTTGTACCCGGACTTTTTAACAGAAACAACCTTAAATCATTTTTACTCATTTTAATTAATTTATTTATTTTTAAAAAGTGAGACCAGGTCTTTCTGTGTTGCCCAGGCTGGTCTTGAACACCTGGGCTCAAATAATCCTCTCTCATCTGCCTTCAGAGTGCTGGGATTACAGGCATGAGCTGCCACACCTGGCCTTAAGTCATTTTTAGAAATGGCTAGAGGTGGGATGTGATATAAGGAAGTCAGTATACAGTTATCAAAATATCTTTGTTTTCCCAGGAAAATTTGCTGTTTGATGAATATCATAAATTAAAGCTGATTGACTTTGGTCTCTGTGCAAAACCCAAGGTAAGTGCAGAAATAAGATGCATCTATGTTCTTTGTAAATGCATTTATTTCTTAGTGTGTGATTTTGTCCTGACTTCCACTTATTCTTTATTGAGCTTGGTTGCATCCATTGAGAAGAATGTTAAATTTCATCCCAGGTATGGGTAGTTTTTGTAAGTTCTCTAGATGATCATAACATGCAATCAAGATTGAGAGTCACTGCCCTAGTTCTAGGATTGGTCCTGCTGAAGACTCCATGGGTATGCTGTGAGAATTTGCAGTGCAGAGGTGACTTGAGGCTATTACAGCAAGAATGCTGACTTGACCAGTGCTTGCAGTTTGAGTATATTGCCACTAGATGATGCCTTTGTTTGTTTAGATAAAAGTTGAGAATTTAGTGCAAATCTGTTATCCAAATGGTTCTATAACTAACAATTAGTTACATTTTGAGAAACAATCCGCTTTCCTTTTAAAAGAAGGAAAAAGCCCATATGCACTTCTAAATTTATAACTGTTATATATTTCCTTAATTTGCATTCCATGGTTATGTATTGGTGTTCTCCAGCATAACTTCTCTTTGAGGTGACTTTGAACTTTCTGGCTCTGCTGTCTGCAGCAGATCTCCTGTGTGGCTGCCTGTTGGAAGCTTCCTCTGGAGTTCTCTAATCATGGTACTCACAATCTCTAAAATGAGCTGTCTACACTCATTAAGAATGTTGAAATTGCAGACTTGTCTCGGGCTTTGGTAATCCCATAACTGTTTCCTGCCCTGATCAGAATTAGCTAGGTGCAAAGGGAAGCAGATTTTGCCCCTTTGGCAGAAAGTCTGATTCTTTCTGATTCTTCTCTCCTTCCCTTGGCTCTTTAGAAACTATAAGTGGAACCTTTTTTCTGGGAACCAAATGCTAGAAGGCAGGTTTTTTTTTTTTTTTTTGATTGACAAACATATAAAGAAAAAACATACTTTGAACAGATAAACTGGTTTAAGTTGTTCTCCATGGGAGGCAGTGGAGAAGGTTTGTGACAGACCCTGTGAGCCTTCATTTATGGCTGCCACGGATTACACACATAGACACCATCTAAGGAAAGTGGGGTTGCCTGGGAGAGGATTGCCTCAGCCTTCTTCCAAGGAGCACACTCCTGGGCATGTTGTTTCAGTTGTAAATGACATCTCACAATTCACAAATCCTTTGCCAGCTGTAAGAACTCTATACAGCTGTTGGACTGTAGCTTTATTTTCATTATGTCTTGGTATTTCTGTGGGAGGGCAGAGGAGGATGAGCAGATTACTCATTTTAACAGAACTGGAAGCTAAGGGAGTGATTTATAACTGCATCTAGAAAACAGACTTTCAAGGCACTGTTCTATGTAACATATTGCTTTTTTCCCTCTAAGAAAATAGAGCTCTTCTGTATTTGTGAAGATTTCATACTGGAGATAAGGTCCAGTAAATAAATTTTTCCCCCCGGGATACTTGGGGATGGAAAGACGTGGATGCTTGGATATATGCTGGGCTTATTTATGTATGTGGGTATTTAGGGAAGTATGAACCTGATTTGACTGAGCTAAGGGGAAAGGATTTGTTCATGCCAGGTTGTAGTGGTGTTGGGAATCCAGAGAAGCAGAGACCACACGTGCATGCACACATGTATACAGAGTATTGTGTTGGCTGCAGAAATCCTTTATTATGTGGGGTGGTTTTTCATCTAGCTTCTCTTTGCTTGTGCTCAAATAATTTTTATCGGCCAGGCGTGGTGGCTCATTGCCTGTAATCCCGGCACTTTGGGAGGCCGAGGCGGGTGGATCACCTGAAGTCTGGAGTTCAAGACTAGCCCAGCCAACATGGCAAAACCCCGTCTATACCAAAAATACAAAAATTAGTTGGGCATGGTGGCACGCTGCGTGCCTGTAATCCCAGCTACTCTGGAGGCTGAGGCAGGAGAATCACTTGAACCCAGGAGGCAGAGGTTGCAGTGAGCCGAGATTGCGCCATTGCACTCCAGCCTGGGTGACAGAGTGAGACTCCGTCTCAAAAAAAAAAAAAAAAAAAAAAAAGAATGTTTATCAAGGTTTAATTCTCTTAAGCGTTGTAATTAATAAGTTTCATTTTTATCTTATTGGCAGGGTAACAAGGATTACCATCTACAGACATGCTGTGGGAGTCTGGCTTATGCAGCACCTGAGTTAATACAAGGCAAATCATATCTTGGATCAGAGGTAATTATTCATTGATTAATTCATTATATAATCAGCAGACATTTATATTGGTCACCTGTAGTGAGTCAGGCACTGTGCGTTGGGGGTATAATGATGAAGTAAGAAATAATCTTGTTAATCAGAGTTCAGTCTATTTGGAGAGTGAGACATGATTACTTATAAATGAAATTAATAACTTGCAATAAATATAGTAACATATACTTATGAAGCAGGGATATTTCTGGTGTCCTTGTTGTGGCTGCTTTTGTATTAAATAGTGCCATAGTTTGGACTGGTTAGTCTAGCTGGATAGAACAAAAGACGAAGGTTCCAGGCTCAGTTTCAGAGATGCTGGTTAGCACAGAGAAAACCTGTGCTTCGTCCATCCAGAGCTGACTCTCCAAGGCCAGCAGCCCTGTGTAGGAGTCCAGGCTGAGAAGGAGTGGGATTTGCCTGATTTATATTTGCTGTATCTCAAATTATCAAATTAGCTCCTCTCATTCTCTGGAGTACTAGTTTTGCTGATGTGAGTGTCATAAGATTAAAAAAACACTTTAGTTGTGAAAAGCTCAGGAAGTGCTCAAACAGGTTTCCTATTTCAGGACATGTCCAAATCTTTTTTTGTTTTGTTTTGTTTTTTTTTTTTGAGACGGAGTCTCACTCTGTCACCCAGGCTGGAGTGCAGTGGCGCGATCTTGGCTCACTGCAACCTCCACCTCCTGGGTTCAAGCGATTCTCCTTCAGCCTCCCAAGTAGCTGGGATTACAGGCAACTGCCATCACGTTTGGCTAATTTTTGTGTTTTTAGTAGAGACGGGTTTCACCATGTTGGCCAGGCTGGTTTCAAACTCCTGACCTCAAATGATTCACCCACCTCAGCCTCCCAATTATAGGCATGAGCCACTGCGCCCAGCCTCCAAATCTTTCTTTTCTTTTGGAGATGGAGTCTCACTCTGTTGCCCAGGCTGGAGTGCAGTGGCACAATCTCCGCTCACTACAAGCTCTGCCTCCTGGGTTCACGCCATTCTCCTGCCTCAGCCTCCCGAGTAGCTGGGACTACACGCGTCCGCCACCACGCCTGGCTACTTTTTTTTGTATTTTTAGTAGAGATGGGGTTTCACCATGTTAGCCAGGATGGTCTCGATCTGCTGACCTCGTGATCCGCCTGCCTCGGCCTCCCAAAGTGCTGGGATTACAGGAGTGAGCCACCGTGCCCGGCTCTGGCCTCCAAATCTTTAATGTGCTCTTGTACAGTGTGATCCTTCAGGAAAGGAACATCACAGATAACAGCTGGTTCTGATTTTATTTGCCTATGGGATCCACTTTTGATGGAGAGCATCTTTTGGAACTAGCATAAGGAACTTTGGGAATACCAGGTTACTTCATAAAATGAGAAGATGGGAACTGTTTCCGGTGACTTTTTATTTTGATATAATCTCTAACTTACAAGATAGTGCAAGAATAGAATGAGGAACTTTGGTATATCTTTTACTCAAATTCACAGTTATTTACATTTTTCCTTATTTGCTTTATCATTCTCTATGTTTATATATATGCATGTTTTTTTTTGAATCATTTGAGAGTTAGCTAGAAATATCATATCCTTTTATTACTCAATATTTCTATATATATTTTTCCTAAAAGCAAAGACCTTTTCTTTTATAACCACACTTTAGTATCAAAATTTAACATTGATACAATTTATTTAATTCATAATTCATATTCAAATGGTATTAATTGTACCAATAATGTCCTTTATAGTTTTATTTTCCCCCCAGTCTAGGATATGGTGCAGGATGCATTTAGTTATTGCATTTAGTTATTGTGTCTCTTTAGTCCCTTTTAATCTGGAAGACTTCCTTAGGCTTTCTTTATTTTTTTTGATCTCAGCATTTTTGAAGAAGCCAGTTATTTAGTAGAATGTACATCAATTTGAATTTATTTAATGTTTCTTTATGATTAGATTCAGGTTATGTATTTTTGGCAGAAATACCACAAAAATGATGTTGTAGCCTTCTTAGTGCATTATAGGAAAGGGACCAAATGTTTTCTGAACGTTTATCATAGTCCTGGAATCATGCTGGATACTTTTTATTTTTAATTGTGGTAAAATACACATAACATAAAATTTACCATCTTAACTGTTTTAAAATGTATAGTTTAGTAGTACTGAAATACAATCACATTGTTGTGCAACCGACCTCCAGGGCTCTTTTAATTTTGCAAAACTGAAACTTTATACCTGTTAAACAATTCTTCATTTCTGCCTACCCTATTCCCCTGGCAACTACCCTTCTGCCTTCTGTCTCTATGAATTTGACTAATCTAGGAACTTCATGTAAATGGAATCATACAATATTTGTCTTTTTGTGACTGGTTATTTCACTTAGCATAATGTCCTCAAGGTTCATGCATGTTGTAGCATGTATCAGAATTTCCTTTCTTTATAAGGCTGAATAATATTCCATTGTATGTATATACCACATTTTGTTTATTCATTCATCCATTGGTAGATACTTAAATTGCTTCCACCTTTTGGCACCTGTGAATAATGTTGATAGGAATATGAGTGTACAAGTATCTCTTTCAGATCCTGCTTTCAATTCTTTTGGGTATATATTCAGAAGCGGAGTTGCTGGATCATATTGTAATTCTATTTTTAATATTTTGTGGAATCTCCATACTGTTTTCCATAGTGAGTGCACCATCTTACATTTTCACCAACAGTGTACAGGAGTTTCACATGGGCTGGGCGCGGTGGCTCATGCCTGTAATCCCAGCACTTTGGGAGACTGAGGTGGGCGGATCATGAGGTTAGGAGTTTGAGACCAGCCTGGCCAACATGATGAATCCCTGTCTCTATTAAAAATATAAAAATTAGCTAGGCATGGTGATGCGCACCTGTAATCCCAGCTACTTGGGGGTTGAGGCAGGAGAATCGCTTGAACCTGGGAGGCAGAGGTTGTAGTGAGCCGAGATTGTATCATTGCACTCCAGCCTGGGTGACAGAGCAAGACTGTCTCAAAAAAAAAAAAAAAAAAAAAGAGTTTCACATGCTGGATACCTTTAATAATTTTCAATTAAGCTCTACAGACTTTTTTTTTTTTTTTTTGAGATGGAGTTTTGCTCTTGTTGACCAGGCTGGAGTGCAATGGCATGATCTTGGCTCACCGCAACCTCAGCCTCCTGGGTTCAAGCGATTCTCCTGCCTCAGCCTCCAGAGTAGCTGGGATTACAGGCATGTGCCACCATGCTTGGCTAATTTTGTATTTTTAGTAGAGACAGGATTTCTCCATGTTGGTCAGGCTGGTCTCTAACTCCCGACCCCAGGTGATCCGTCTGCCTTGGCCTACCAAAGTGTTGGGATTACAGGCATGAGCCACCACGCCTGGCCACAGACATCCTTTTTAGTGAATACTGTTACCCTATCCCATAAGATAAAGAAGATGAAGAAACTGAGGCTCAGAAATTTGGTGCCTTTGCAGGGTCACACAGCTGGTGACTGAGTGAGATTTGAGTGGAGTGAGGTACTGTTTCCACTATTCCATTTAGTTTCCCAGAAGGAGTGATAATCGTATGCCTGATCTCACAAGATTCCTAGAGGTGATGAGAATCTGCTGATTTGAGTGTATCTGGGTTTTTCCTATGTAATTTTAAATTGTTTTCTTGTCCGTGTTAGTTCAACTTCCTGTCCTTCTCAGAGTGTCTAAAGGATAGTGGACTGAGGAGTCATTTGAGATACTTACTAAATGATGCAGAGCTCAGGGTGGTAACTCCCTCAGAGATTTTGGTTTCGTTTTCTGAGATGGGGCTTTAAGAATCTTCATTTAAAATACTAATAAAATAGTTGATTCTGATGTTCACAGTCCTGATCATGCTTTAAGGACATGTTCCATTGTAAATATCTCTAATTTCTTCAGTAATTTTTCATGGGAAATGGTTTCAGTTCTCTCTTCCTCCCAATTATTTTATCTTTTTTTTTTTTGAGACAGGGTGTCACTCTGTCTCCCAGGCTGAAGTGCAGTGGCATGACTATGGCTCACGGTAGCCTTTACCTCCTAGACTCAAGCAGTCCTCCCACCTCAGCCTCCCAAGTAGCTGGGACTACAGGTGTGCACTACCACACCTGGCTAATTTTTAAAATTTCTTTGTAGAGATAGGGTCTTGCTATGTTTCTGGGGCTGGTCTTGAACTCCTGGGCCTAAGTGATCCTCCCGCCTTGGCCTCCCAAAGTGCTGGGAGCCAGTTATTTTTTCATGTCAACTGGTAGTTTATGGATTTACTTGCATTTGCTTTGGTTTTTTTATGATTTTAGTTAATTTATTCTCATATTCAATTCAAAACAGCGAAGTAAAGGTACTTTCAGTTAACTGAAAAATGCTTTTTCTGCTTTCTTTTTTCTAATAAGTGTTGGTAGCACTATGGGGATGTTATTATCATTTTATTCCTCTTTAAGTTTAACCCTAGACATAATCTTTCTGTTGACTTCTTGTGTGTTTTTTTGTTTGTTTGTTTGTTTTTTGAGACGGAGTTTCGCTCTTGTTGCCCAGGCTGGAGTGCAATGGTGTGATCTTGGCTCACTGCAACCTCTGCCTCCCGAGTTCAAGCGATTCTCCTGCCTCAGCCTCCCGAATTGCTGGAATTACAGGCATGTACCACCCTGCCTGGCAAATTTTGTATTTTTAGTAGAGACGGGGTTTCTCCATGTTGGTCAGGCTGGTCTTGAACTCCCAACCTCAGGTGATCTGCCCACCTCGGCTTCCCAAAGTGTTAGGATTATGGGTGTAAGCCACCGCGCCCGGGCTTTTTTTTTTTTTTTTTTTTTTTTTTTGAGACAAAGTCTCGCTCTTGTCCCCCAGGCTGGAGTGCGATGGTGCAATCTCGGCTCACTGCAACCTCTGCCTCCCGGGTTCAGGCGATTCTCATTGGGTTCAGGCGATTCTCATTCCTCAGCCTTCCAAGTAGCTTGGATTACAGGCACATGCCACCATGCCCTGCTAATTTTTATATTTTTAGTAGAGACAGGGTTTGACTCAACCCTGGTGGGATTGAGTGGGAGTGGAAGGACTGCTTGAGTCCAACAGGACCATATTGGCCAGGCTGGTCTCGAACTCCTGACCTCAGCTGATCCGCCCACCTTGGCCTCCCAAAGTGCTGGGATTACAGGCGTGAGCCACCATGCCTGACCCTTTTTTTTGAGACAGGGTCTCACTCTGTCACTCAGGCTGGAGTGCAATGGCGTGATCTTGGCTCACTGCAACCTCCACCTCCCGAGTTCAAGCGATTCTCCTGCCTCAGCCTCCCGAATTGCTGGAATTATAGGCATGTACCACGCCGCCTGGCAAATTTTGTATTTTTAGTAGAGACGGGGTTTCTCCATGTTGGTCAGGCTGGTCTTGAACTCCCAACCTCAGGTGATCTGCCCGCCTTGGCTTCCTAAAGTGTTAGGATTATGGGTGTGAGCCACTGCGCCCAGCCATTATTTATTTATTTATTTTTTTGAGACGAAGTCTTGCTCTTGTCCCCCAGGCTGGAGTGCAATGGCCTCCTGAGTAGCTGGAATTACAGACATGCACCACCACACCTGGCTAATTTTTTTATCTTTTTAGTAGAGACAGGGTTTCACCATGTTGGCCCTGCTGGTCTTGAACTCCCTACTTCAGGTGATCTGCCTACCTTGCTTCCCAAAGTGTGGATTACAGGCATGAACCACCATGTAGTTCACTCTTTCCTGTGCAACCTCTTTGCTTTGAATTTTTTTTGAGATGGAGTCTCGCTCTGTTGCCCAGGCTGGAGTGCCATGGTGTGATCTCAGCTCACTTCAACCTCTACCTCCCGGGTTCAAGCAATTCTCCTGCCTCAGCCTCCCATGTAGCTGGTATCACAGGTGTCCACTACCACACCCGGCCAAATTTTGTATTTTTAGTAGAGATGGAGTTTTACCATGTTGACCAGGCTGGTCTTGAACTCCTGACCTCAGGTGGGAGGTGGCTGGTTTTGGCCTCCCAAAGTGCTGGGATTATAGGTGTGAGCCACTGCACCTGATCTGCTTTGAATTTAATACCATGAATGAGTGTCATACCATCATGTCTCAATTTATAGATTAAATATTTGACATCTCGGAGGCGTAAATGGTCAATTTCTGACCTCCTGCAACTTGGAAGAGTAATCAAGTGTTTGCTTCAAAGCAAATTGTTCACTTGAGACGTCATAGTAGAGTCCTAATAATTTGATATGATTTGGTAGACAGGACTAGGGGTTAGATTTGGCTTATCTAGTATAAGTACTACCCAGATATGTGATGCTGCTCAAGTTATTTTAACTGTTTTCTCTTTCTTTTCTTTCTTTGTTTTCTTCCTTCCTTTCCTTCTTTCCTCTTTTTCTTTTTTTGCTCTTAAAACTTGCCTAAGCCTGGGAGGCAAATGTTGCAGTGAGCTGAGATTGTGCCACTGCACCCCAGCCTAGGCAACAGAGTGAGACCCTGTCTCTAAAAAAAAAAAAAAAAAATTTCCTAAGGCTCAAATGAGAGTAAGAGCTGTGACTTCTCCTCAGCTAATGGTGGCATCATTACTGACTAAGGCCAAATACTGCTTGAACAAATAGTTACTGCTTAGGACTCATGGGACACATGGATATCACATATAAAGGTTAAGCTCTTTTCTGGGATTTTGAGATTTGTAGGACTATTTGTGCTGGTAGGCTAATTTCTAGTGTCTCTCTCTCTCTCTATGTATATATACATATATATTTGAGGTTTGTAGGACTATTTGTGCTGGTAGGCTAATTTCTAGTCTATATGTATATATAATATATACATATGTATAGGTGTGTATATAATATATACATATGTATAGGTGTGTATATAATATATACATATGTATAGGTGTGTATATAATATATACATATGTATAGGTGTGTATATAATATATACATATGTATAGGTGTGTGTATATATATACATATGTATAGGTGTGTATATAATATATACATATGTATAGGTGTGTATATATATACATATGTATAGGTGTGTATATAATAAATACATATGTATAGGTGTGTATATAATATATAATATATACATATGTATAGGTGTGTATATAATATATAATATATACATATGTATAGGTGTGTATATAATATATACATATGTATAGGTGTATATATGGACATATATGTATATATGGACACATATGTATATGTATATATGGACATATATATGTATACATGTATGCATATATGTATATATGGACATGCATGCATATATATGTACATATATACATATATAATATATATAATAAATAATCTATATAATATATATAAATAAATGATATATATTTTTAGATGGAGTTTCACTGTGTCGCCCAGGCTGGAGTACAGTGGCGTGATCTCGGCTCACTGCAACCTCCGACTCTTGGATTCAAGCGATTCTCCTGCCTCAGCCTTCCGAGTAGCTGGGACTGTGGGCATGCGCCACCATGCCCGGCTAATTTTTGTAGTTTTAGGAGAGACGGGGTTTCACCATGTTGGCCAGGCTAGTCTCAAACTCCTGACCTCAGGTGATCCACCCGTCTTGGCCTCCCAAAGTGCTGGGATTACAGGCATGAGCCACCAGGCCCGGCCACCTCTACATTTGAAAAGTCAATCATTGAACTTTATTAAAGTTCTCTACATAGAATTTTATAGTACAACTTAGTCATACTTGCTGATTATCAATAAATTTTAAGACATCCTCATGCCTGTTTACATAATCTTCATATGTAACCTAAACCTTCAGTAGCACTGTAGAATTGTCTCATCTTCTTATCATGTCCAATCCAGCCCAGCCTACTGGAAATTATTTTCTGTTAAGTGTTAGAGTCCAGCTGGAGGAGAGTGCATTAAATTGGAAGTCAGGAGGTCTTCCTGGGTGGCCTCCAATTGACTGGGTGACTTTAGGCAAGCCTCCTTAGCTTCAGGTTCTCTGACTATAGAATAAGCAGGTTGAAATGGTTGATATCTGAGTTCTTTTTTAGCTTTGCGACAATTCTGTGATTGGATCAAGAGTCCTACCATTCTGAAATATGTTTGAATTTTTGTTTCAGTAATTTTTCTTTTTCCCTCTTTCTCTCAGGCAGATGTTTGGAGCATGGGCATACTGTTATATGTTCTTATGTGTGGATTTCTACCATTTGATGATGATAATGTAATGGCTTTATACAAGAAGATTATGGTGAGTATTACAAGGCATAGAATTTCAATGTAGAACTTTTCTATACCGAATAGTATATGCTTTCATTCATAAATGTACAAAAACAGGCATAAAAGTTATTCTCTGCTGTTAGAAGTCAAAATCTTAGTTATTCTTTGGGAGTGGTTAAGGAGTGGGCTTCTGTTCTGTTTCTTAATCTGGGAGTTGGCTACACTTGTATACAGTAGTTTCCCCTTGTCAGCAGTTTTGCTTTCTGCGGTCTTAGTTGCCCATGGTCAACTGCGGTCTGAAAATTGGTGAGTTTGTGTAATACAGTAAGATATTTTGAGAGAAAGAGGCACATTCAGGCCGGGCGCGGTGGCTCACGCCTGTAATCCCAGCACTTTGGGAGGCTGAGACTGGCAGATCACGAGGTCAGGAGATCGAGACCATCCTGGCTAACGTGGTGAAACCCCGTCTCTACTAAAAATACAAAAAATTAGCCGGGCATGGTGGCGGGTGCCTGTAGTCCCAGCTACTCGGGAGGCTGAGGCAGGAGAATGGGGTGAACCCAGGAGGTGGAGCTTGCAGAGCCGAGATTACGCCACTGCACTCCAGCCTGGGCGACAGAGCAAGACTCTGTCTCAAAAAAAAAAAAAAAAAAAAAAAAAAGGCACATTCACATAACATTTTTAACAGTATATTGTTATAATTATTCTATTTTATTATGTTATTGTTAATCTCTTATTCTGCCTAATGTATAAATTAAACTTTATCAAACTTGTGTATATATATATATATATGGAAAGAAACATAGCACATATAGGGTTCATTGCTATCCGTGGTTTCCGGCATCCATGGGTGTCTTGGAAAGTATTACCTGCTGATAAGGGGGACTACAGCATTCAGTTTTTGAAAACTCATTGAGGTGTACTCTTACGTTATACAAACTTCTTTTTTTTTTTTGGAGATGGAGTTTTGCTCTTGTTGCCCAGGCTAGAGTGCAATGGTGCGATCTTGGCTCACCGCAACCTCTGCTTCCCAGGTTCAAGCGATTCTCCTGTCTCAGCCTCCCTAGTAGCTGGGATTACAGGCATGTGCCACCACGCCCGGCTAATTTTTTGTATTTTTAGTAGAGTCGGGGTTTCTCCATGTTGGTCAGGCTGGTCTCGAACTCCCGACCTCAGGTGATTTGCCTGCCTCGGCCTCCCAAAGTGCTGGGATTACAGGCATGAGCCACCGCACCCGGCCCAATATATAAACTTCTATACATATACTTCTTCAATGAAAAGCTTAACAAAATAAAAACAGAATGCTGTGTCAAATCACATTTTCCTTTTGACTTATAAAATAAGAACCTCCTCTTTTCTTTTTTTGGAAGATAAAATTTTGGCTTCAGGTTATAATAAAACCACAATTGAGATCACCTACTGTAAGCTTTGTTAAAATCCTATATATCAGAGACAGAGAGTAGATAAGTTGTTGCTTGGGGTTAGGGGTGGAGAGTGACTGCCTGTGAGTATGGGTTTTCTTTTTGGGATGATGAAAACATTCTGGAATTAGAAAGAGGTGATGATTACACAACTTTGTGAATATACTAAAATCTACACTTTAAAAGGGTAAATATTATGGTATGTGAATTATGTTCAGTTAAAAAATCAAAAAAATCACAGGAAGGAAAATAGGAAAATTATTTCAAAGCAAACTAACAAAAGAAGACATGTAAAGAGGAAGAAAGAACATCTTGTGTTCCATAGCAAACTGAGGTCAGACTAGCAGAGCAGCATCTCTGAATGCTTCACTCTCTTTCTTCTTCTTTTTTTTTTTTTTTTTTGAGATAAGGTCTTGCTGTGTCACCCAGGCTGAAGTGCAGGAGTGCGATCATGGCTCACTGTAGCCTTGACCCTCTGGGCTCAAGTGGTCCTCCCACCTCAACCTCCCCACTAGCTGGGACCACAGGCACTGCACCACTACATCCGGCTAATTAAAAAAATTTTTTTGTAGAGATAGGATCTTCCCTATGTTACCCAGGCTGGTCTCAAACTCCTGTGCTCAAGTGATCCTCCCACCTCAGCCTTGCAAAGTGCTGAGATTACAGGTGTGAGCTACTGTGCCTGGCCTTCTGAATGCTTCTTGAATCCAATTCTGTTTAACAAATATTTCCTGAATTTCTGCTTTATATAAGATGCTGAAAGGCATAGAAAAGATCTATGAAACTTTATTATTGTCCACCAGGGCCTGATCTCTTGTTGGAGACAGGTATAAGCTATCTAAAAACGGCAAAGGGTGAGGAATGCCATATTATAACAGAGTGTAAATGAAATTAATACAGGAGTTGGGGTGGCTCTGGGAGGGCATCTTAGAGGAAGTGAGGTTTGAGCAGGTCTTTAAAAGAAGGGTGGAAGTGTTTCAGAAAGGGATGTGGGCAAGAGCATTCCTGATAGTACAGGTAGCATGAGCAAAGGCATAGAAGTGGGAGAGACGTGGGGAGGAATGGGCAGTTTTTTGTAGCTGGACCATTGGATCTCTAACAATTAGATGAGGAGACTACCTAAAGCAACTCTCACTTCTAGGAAGTAGCATACAGTGTTGAAAGTGGTAGACCCAGTTGGCTTGTTGCCCACTCCATAGAACACCAAGTCTAAGGACACTGAGTTCAATCTTCAACTTTTATTTGACTTATAGTTTTTCCTATATCCCACCTTGGAAGATTCTTTAAAGTTGATTCCCAAGCTTCAGAGAATAGCTTTGGAAAGAGATGGAATTGCAATAGTTCCAACTCCTTGAAGACTGAGGAGCTCTGATTCTGCAGGATCAAAAAGAAGCAGTGTGAGCGGTAGCTATTAACACCGCTTTGGGGACCCATGTGTGTCCAGGCTTCTCCTTGTGAAGGGGAGATAAATGAGGCAGTGGGCTGGAGGCCGGCCTCCTAGAGCCTGCTGCTGTAGCCAAGACAGCTTGTTTTCCTCCTGTCACTTCTTGAGCTTTCTTGAACTTTGCTGGGTAGCACTCGTTGCTTTGGCTTCTGCATGCTGACTGTGGCAGCAGTTCCTGACTCCATAGAGCCATACCTGACTGCATCCACATCAGGATACAGGGGAGAGTAGGGTTAGGATCTTTTTGTGGCTTTAGCTCCAGTCAACAGAAGTGGTCTTTGGGCAGCTCAGTAACATTTATCCAGTTATACTTTTACAAAATATTAGGTTGGCCTCTTGAATTCTTCCCTCTTTTTGCTACTTTTTTCTGTAAAGTAGGGCTGTGTTTTTTATTCTGAAATAATTGTATTCTAGTATAGGTTGAGTATCCCTAATCTGAAAATCCAAAATTTGAAATGCTCCAAAATTTGACACTTTTTGAGTGCTGAGTTGATGCTCAAAGGAAATGCTTACTGGAGCATTTCAGGTTTTGGATTTTCGGATTTGGCATATTCAGTCAGTAAGCGTATAATGCACATATTCCAAAGCCTGAAATCTGAAACACTTCTGTTCCCAAGCATTTGGGTAAGGGATACTCGGCTTGTATTATAAGCTGCTAGGATATTTTACCCTATTCTTGTTTTGGGAACTCCATCCCAAAGAAATAAGCTGACAGATTTCTCCAAAGTGAACTAGAATTGAATCTGCTAGCTGGTGTAACACGGAATATTACACCTCCTAGACTTCTAGAAAGACTGTGGAAACAGATAATGGTAGAATTTCACTGTTGGAAAGCACCTGGGAAATCATGTTTTCTGACCCTTGTTGCTTGTTTTATATTTAATCCTCACTAAAATGTCTCCTGCCTTGGCTATGTCCATGTACTCTCTCTCAGGGTGGGGAAAGTTAGCTAATGGATTTAATTCTTCCTAACCATAGTTGCACATTAGAATTGCTTGGGGTGCTTTAAAGAGTATTGGTTCCACCCCCAGAGCAATTAAATCAGAATATCATTGAGGTTTTTGAAATTCAGAAGCTTCAGAATCTCTACTTTCTATCTGTGGACTTTGGTAAATTATTTAGCCTCTCTGTGTCTTAGTTTCTTTGTCTGTAAAAATGGATGAAATAACACGGCATAGGGTTGTTGTGAAGATTAAATGAGTTAATCCATGAAAAGCATTTAGAGTGGTGCTCAATAAATGTAGCTATTATTATTATTATTATTATTATTATTATTATTATTTTGAGATGGCGTCTCGTGCTGTTGCCCAGGCTAGAGTGCAGTGGTTAGATTCGGCTCACTGCACCCTCCACCTCCCAGGTTCAAGCAATTCTTCTGCCTCAGCCTTCCAAGTAGCTGGGACTACAGGTGGGCACCACTATGCCTGGCTAATTTTTGTACTTTTAGTAGAGACGGGGTTTCACCATATTGGTCAGGCTGGTCTTGAACTCCTCACCTCGTGATCTGCGCTCCTCTGCCTCCCAAAGTGCTGGGATTATAGGTGTGAGCCACTGTGCCTGGCTGCTATTATTGTTTTATTTTTGTTTGTTTGTTTTGTTTTTTTCTGTGACAGAGTCTCGCTCTGTCACCCAGGCTGGAGTGCAATGGCGCGATCTTAGCTCATTGCAACCTCCGCCTCCTCAGTTCAAGCGATTCTCTTGCCTCAGCCTCCTGAGTAGCTGGGATTACAATCATGCGCCACCGTGCCTGGCTAATTTTTGTAGTTTTAGTAGGGAAGGGGTTTTGCCATGTTGGCCAAGCTGGTCTCGAACTCCTGACCTCAAGTGATCCACCACCTTGGCCTTCCAAAATGCTGGGATTACAGGCATGAGCCACCACATCTGGCAATTATTTTTGAGACAAAGCCTTGCTCTGTTGCCCAGGCTGGAGTGCAGTGGCGCCATCTTGGCTCACTGCAAGCTCTGCCTCCTGGGTTCAAGCAATTCTCCTGCCTCAGCCTCCCAAGTAGCTGGGATTACAGGCGAGTGCCACCAAGCTCAGCTAATTTTGTATGTTTAGTAGAGATGAGGTTTCACCATGTTGGCCAGGCTGGTCTCGAACTGACCTCAAGTGATCCTCCTGCCTTGGCCTCCCAAAGAGGCTGGGATTACATGCATTTCTAAATGAGATTTGCCAGTATTTTGTCCAGGACTTAAAATTGGCTCAAAAATTAATGTGTACTTTTTTGGGAACTATCTTTGTATGTTTGGTTTTGGTTTCATGATTTGTATTAGCCCCATAAAGTTACATTGGGGAGTATTCTTTCTTTTACTTTTCTTGGGGAGAGCTTGACAATTTTTTTGTGGATGTTTTGTAGAATGTGCTTGGAAGTTCAACTCCACCTGTGCCTTCTTTATGGAAAGATTTTTAACTAACATATAACATTTAACTAACATAGATCATAACATTTCATTTGAAGCTCTCTAGTGGCCTCTTTCTCATCTCGAGTACAAGCCAGTGTTTGCCCTGTGTGCTGTGGGTTTTCCCCCGTGTAATGTGGCCTCCCATCACCTCACTGCCCTCATGGTCTACTCCCTGCCTCACTTGTGCCACCCACATTGTCCTCCTTGTTGTTTCTTTTTTCCCCTTTTCCTGGAACACGCTAAGGTGTGCCTGCCTCAGGGCATTTGTACTTACCCTTTCACCTGAAATGGTTTTCTCCCGGAGAGATGCTTTGTTCCCTCCCTTCTTTCAGGTCTCTGTTCAAATGTTCTCTAATCAGAAAGACAACCACTTGTTTATGTGTTCATTTGTTTGTTCATTTACTCATTTATTCGATGTCATTTCACCTTAGGGAGGAGTAAAATAGTTACCAAACACCTAATATGTGCCAGGCACTTTTCTAGATGTGTGGGGTATATCTGTGAATAAAACAGATGAAAGATCCCTGTCCTCGTGGAGTTTATCTTCTAGTAGTGGGGATGTAGAGAAAGACAATAAGCATAACAAGTAAATTTTACTAAAAGATGATATGTACTTTGGAAAAGAGAAAAAAATTGAGTAGGATGAAGAGGAATCAGGAGTACAGATGGGGGAGTTGTGGAGGAAAGGGCCAGTAGGTTGCATGATTAAATAAGGTGGTCAGGATAAACTTCATGGAGGCGAGATGTAAGGAGACTTGAGGGATGTGAGAGTGTCAAGTGGATATCTAGGAGAAAAATATTTCCGGCAGAGGGAACAGCTAGAGCAAAGACTGGGAGGTAGGAACATGCCTGGTGTTGTCAAGGGAGGGTGAGAGGGCCAGTGCAGCCTGAGTTTAGCAAGTGAGGAGGGCAGTAGGAAAGGAAACCTTGGGAACAGGAGTCAAGCTGCTTTGGGCTGGGTAGGCTCTCATAAGGACTTTGGCATTTTTTCTACGTGAAATGGGGAGCCATTGGAGGCTTTTGAGGACATGATTTGGTTTAGTTTTTAACAGGATCACACTGGCTGCTATGTGGAGATGACTGTAGGAAGTGAAGAGAACCAGGGCATCTGGTCAGGAGGATATTGTAATGATTCAGATAAGAGATGGTGGCAGTGGAGGTGGTAAAAAGTGGGTAGATACTAGATGTCTTTTTTTTTTTTTTTGAGACAGAGTCTCGCCCTGTCGTCCAGGCTGGAGTGCAGTGGTGCGTCTTGGCTCACTGCAACCTCCGCCTCCTGGGTTCAAGTGATTCTCCTGCCTCACCCTCCTGAGTAGCTAGGATTATAGGTCCTTGCCACCATGCGTGGCTAAGTTTTGTAGTTTTAGTAGAGATGGGGTTTCGCCATGTTGGCCATGTTGGTCTTGAACTCCTGACTCAGGTGATTCACCTGCCTCGGCCTCCCAAGGTGCTGGGATTACAGGTGTGAGCCACTGCTTCTGGCCTGGATGTCTTTTTTAAAAAATTATTTTTGGGTTTTTTTTTTTTTTTTTTAATTTATTTTTTTATTGATAATTCTTGGGTGTTTCTCACAGAGGGGGATTTGGCAGGGTCATGGGACAATAGTGGAGGGAAGGTCAGCAGATAAACAAGTGAACAAAGGTCTCTGGTTTTCCTAGGCAGAGGACCCTGCGGCCTTCCGCAGTGTTTGTGTCCCTGATTACTTGAGATTAGGGATTGGTGATGACTCTTAACGAGCATGCTGCCTTCAAGCATCTGTTTAACAAAGCACATCTTGCACCGCCCTTAATCCATTTAACCCTGAGTGGACACAGCACATGTTTCAGAGAGCACAGGGTTGGGGGTAAGGTCACAGATCAACAGGATCCCAAGGCAGAGGAATTTTTCTTAGTGCAGAACAAAATGAAAAGTCTCCCATGTCTTCTACTTTCTACACAGACACAGCAACCATCCGATTTCTCAATCTTTTCCCCACCTTTCCCGCCTTTCTATTCCACAAAGCCCCCATTGTCATCCTGGCCCGTTCTCAATGAGCTGTTGGGCACACCTCCCAGACGGGGTGGTGGCCGGGCAGAGGGGCTCCTCACTTCCCAGTAGGGGCGGCCGGGCAGAGGCGCCCCTCACCTCCCGGACGGGGCAGCTGGCCGGGCGGGGGGGCTGACCCCCCCCCCACCTCCCTCCCGGACGGGGCGGCTGGCCGGGCAGAGGGGCTCCTCACTTCCCAGTAGGGGCGGCCGGGCAGAGGCGCCCCTCACCTCCCGGACGGGGCGGCTGGCCGGGCGGGGGGCTGACCCCCCCACCTCCCTCCCAGACGGCACGGCTGGCCAGGCGGGGGGCTGACCCCCCCACCTCCCTCCCAGACGGCACGGCTGGCCAGGCGGGGGGCTGATCCCCCCACCTCCCTCCCGGATGGGGCGGCTGGCCGGGCGGGGGGCTGACCCCCCCACCTCCCTCCCGGTCGGCACGGCTGGCCGGGCGGGGGGCTGACCCCCCCACCTCCCTCCCGGACGGCACGGCTGGCCAGGCGGGGGGCTGACCCCCCCACCTCCCTCCCGGATGGGGCGGCTGGCCTGGCGGGGGCTGACCCCCCCCCACCTCCCTCCCGGACGGGGTGGCTGCCGGGCGGAGACGCTCCTCACTTCCCAGATGGGGTGGCTGCTGGGCGGAGAGGCTCCTCACTTCTCAGACGGGGTGGTTGCCAGGCAGAGGGTCTCCTCACTTCTCAGACGGGGCGGCCGGGCAGAGACGCTCCTCACCTCCCAGACGGGGTCTCGGCCGGGCAGAGGCGCTCCTCACATCCCAGATGGGGCGGCGGGGCAGAGGCGCTCCCCACATCTCAGACGATGGGCGGCTGGGCAGAGACGCTCCTCACTTCCTAGATGTGATGGCGGCTGGGAAGAGGCGCTCCTCACTTCCTAGATGGGATGGCGGCCGGGCGGAGACGCTCCTCACTTTCCAGACTGGGCAGCCAGGCAGAGGGGCTCCTCACATCCCAGACGATGGGCAGCCAGGCAGAGACACTCCTCACTTCCCAGACGGGGTGGCGGCCAGGCAGAGGCTGCAATCTCGGCACTTTGGGAGGCCAAGGCAGGCGGCTGCTCCTTGCCCTCGGGCCCCGCGGGGCCCGTCCGCTCCTCCAGCCGCTGCTTCCCGGGCGGCGCTCGCCGGCGCGGTGGCAAAGAAAAAAATTATTTTTGTATTAACAAAATTAAAAGTAAAAGTAGACCTGTATATACAAAGGGTAAAGTAAAATTGACCCTTTGTATATACAGTAAAATTGACCCTTTGTATATACAGGTCTATGAATTCTAACACATATATAGATTCATATAACCATTGCCACAGTCAGAATGTAGAACAGTCTGGATGTCTTTTGAAGGCATAGCTAACATGATTTGTGCATGGATTGGATGAGGGGAGTAACCCGAGTAGCTAGAAAGTTGGAAAATTATTAAAGGTATCTAGCATGTCAAACTCTTTTTTTTTTTTTTTTTTTTAAGGCAGAGCCTTACTTTGTCACCCAGGCTGGAGTGCAGTAGTGTGATCTCGGCTCACTGCAACCTCTACCTCCCAGGTTCAAGCGATTCTTCTGCCTCAGCCTCCTGAATAGCTGGGATTACAGGCTCCCACCACCGCGCCTAGCTAATTTTTGTAGTTTTAGCAGAGATGGGGTTTCACCATGTTGGACAGGCTTGTCTCGAACTCCTGACCTTAGGTGATCAGCCTGCCTCAGCCTCCCAAGTGTTGGGATTACAGGCGTGAGCCACCGCGCCTGGCCATAAAACCTGTTTTCTTAGAGGCAATCATTGCTATCACGTTTATCAGATTTTTACGTATTTTTTTCAGACATTAGCCTGCATATGTAAGGAATTTTATATTTATATATTTTCTCTTTCTGCTACCCCCTTCCCAGTTTTTTTTTTTTTTTTTTTTACACAGATGGTAGCATACCATAAACACTGTTCTGCACTTTGTTTTCCTCCCTTAGCAGTGTGTCTTGGAAATCATAGCACTTCATACCCACCTCAGAGCCTCTTCATTCTTTTTATGACTGCATAGAATTGCATTGTATGCATGTACCATAATTTATTTAACCAGTCCTAGGTTAATGGACATTTAAGTAATTTCCAAGTAGTCATTTGTACATTGTGAATATAATAAATCTGTAAGAAAATTTCTAGAACAGTTGGTGGGTCAAAGATATGTGAATTAGTAATTTTGATAGATATTGCCAAATTGCTTCCCAGTAAAGTCCTATTGGTTTATGCAACTACCAACAGTAGCATAATAATGCCAGTTTCTCCATACCCCCCCACCAATACAGTGTATCACTGTTTTTGATTGTTATGTTTAAGACTTATTTTTGCTGTGCAGGAATTTTTAGTTTTTATTTAGTGAAATTCATCAATCTTTTTCTTTTTTTCTTTCTTTTTTTTTTTAGAGACAGGGTCTTGCTCTGTCACCCAGGCTGGAGTGCAGTGGTGCAGTCATAGTTCATTGCAACCTCAATTTCCTGGGCTCAAGTGATCCTCCAGCCTCAGCCTCCTGAGTAGCTGGAACTACAGGCGTGCGCTACCACACTTGGCTAATATTTTTTGTAGAGATAAGGTCTTGCTATATTGCTGAGGCTTGTCTCTGGCCTCAAGTGATCCTCCCACCTTGGCCTCTCAAAATGTTGGGATTATAGGCATGAGCCACTGTGCCCAGCCTGTCAATTTTTTATTGTCATATTTGGAAGGGCTTTTTGACTTTATTTTTTAAAATATCTGTGTTTTCTTCTAGTGTTTTTATGGTTTCACTTTTTAAAAATGTTTAAATGTTTGATTCATCTAGAATTTGCTTTAGTATGTTTTCTTGACTTTAAACATCATAAAAAAAACTGTAGAGATTTGCTTTCACATTCTGGATTCTGGATTTTAAAGATCTAATTGTAGACCAGGTGTGGTGGCTCGTGCCTGTAGTCCCAGCACTTTGGGGGGCTGAGTTAGGGACATGGCTTGAGGCCAGAAGTTTGAGACCAGCCTGGGCAACATCGTGAGACTCCGTCTCTACAAAAAATAAAAAAAAAATTAGCTGGGCATGGTGGCATTTGTCTTTAGTCCTAGCTACTCAGGAGACTGAGGTGGGAGGATTGCTTGAGCCTAGGAGTTCAACGCTGCAGTGAGCTATGATTGCACCATTGCATTCCAGCCCAGGCCATAGACTCCATGTCTTTAAAAAAAAAAAAAGGGCCCAGTGGCTCACTTCTGTAATCCCAGCACTTTGGGAAGCTGAGGTGGGCAGATCACTTGAGGCCAGGAGTAGCCTGGCCAACATGGTGAAACCCCATCTCTACTAAAAATACAAGAATTTTCTGGTCGTGGTGGTGCATGCCTGTAATCCCAGCTACTTTGGAGGCTGAGGCATGAGAATCATTTGAACCTGGGAGGCAGAGGTTGCAGTGAGCTGAGATTGCGCCACTGCACTCCAGCCTGGGTGACAGACAGAGGCTCCTCAAAAAAAAAAAAAAAAGAAAAAGAAAATTGAATCATGATGTCAACGTAGCCATATATACTTAAGATTTGAGGTTCATTTTTAACAATAGTGTATATAAGTCCTTATTTAAAATAGTCTTGCTAATTTCAAGTTTTGCAGACAACTTGTTAAATCTAATTAGGTATTTTTTTAACTTTGTGTTTTGGTTGATATCCTAAAAGTAGAAGTGTCAGCTCCATTACTGTTTGCTTGTATTCATAGTCTTCAATCTGTGGTTTCTTTGCAAGAGTTTTGAGCCACTTGTCTATTCAATGAGGATTTAGCTTCATTAAACCGTATACTATAATCTGTAAATCCATGTAACTGTGCTCCTGTAAAGCACTGCTTTGCAATACCATTCTTTCTTAAGAGTGTCTCATAGTGTAGGTTATATAGGGACTAGTGAGCGTACTAGTGCCGATCCATGTACTAAATATTAACAAAGCTCAATTTCTTATTTATTAGATAGATAGAAAATTAATATAAATCTTTGAAGACCGCCAGTCAAGAATGAGTGAATGGTCAACTCTAAGTATTTTTTTTTTTTTTTTTGAGACGGAGTCTTGCTCTGTTGTCCAGGCTGGAGTGCAGTGGCACGATCTCAGCTCACTGCAACCTCCGCCTCCCAGGTTCAAGCAATTCTCCTGCCTCAGCCTCCCAAGTAGCTGGGATTACAGGCGTGTACCACTACACCTGGCTAATTTTTGTATTTTTAGTAGAGACAGTGTTTCACCATGTTGGTCAGGCTGGTCTTGAACTCCTGACCTCAAATGATTCACCTGCCTCAGCCTCTCAAAAGTGCTGAGATTACAGGCATGAGCCACTGTGCTGGCCTAACTCTACGTATTCTTTAGGCAGTCCCTTGATAAGTATAATACCTCTCAGCCAGGTTATTGAGTGTCAGTCAATTAGGGATTATTCTACCTGGAAATTACTTGAAGTTATGGGTATTCTGTGATGCTGAATAAGAACAAGAGGGGCCATGAGTATAACTGGGGCTAGGATTGGCATTCTTCTGTAAACATTGAGCCTTCTAACCATACTTACTTCTTGGTTATGAGATACTATGCCATAAAGGATAACTAGAGTCATTTTATCCAGCTAAAATTTTGCATATTCACCTTGACCATAAAAAGTCTCAATAAAGATGTATGATGTGTAAAACAAAATGAGGTATTATGTAGATTTAAAAAAAAATGGAATGATAAAGTTTTCAGTGAGTTTTGAACCCCCCAAAAATATGTAGAGAGTGGGGGAGATGCCTTCTGCAGGCCAGGTCTAAGTGTCTGTAGGTGTCCAGAAATGGAGTTCTGTGTTTGAGTTGTGCTGAATGAAATCTCTTCTGTCTAGAGCATCTGCAGCAGTCTTTTGGTGGTTTAATTCTTTCTGCTTTTTTCTCTACTTCCTTGTTTCCCCCCTCCAAATGGATAGAGCTTTCTGAAGTGTGTGTGTTGCATATCTTTGTGGCTATTGCACATGGTTGATCAGAAAAAATAAAATGTTTGCTGGCGTGCATATTCTCATCCTTTTGTCACAAAAGTAATACTTAACATGCATGAGTTTTGTTACTTACCAGGCTGTGCTCTAAATGAGGTGGTTGCTATTATTGTCTTCCTCTTACAGATGAAGAAATGAAGGGACAGAGACCTTAAATAACTTATTCAGGGTCTTATAGCTAGTGAGTAGCAGAGCTGGGATTTGAACCCTAGCAGTCAAGCTGGCAGCCCATTCTTATAACCACAATGAAATATTGTTTCTCAGCTCTGTAGTTGCTAGTCACCTAAGAATCACAGATGCCTAGAGGAAGAAGGATCCCCTCCCAAGCATCTTTTTATGCTTATTAATTTGGGAAATTTCCCAGACATCCCATCTTTTCTGATTTACTAAGGCTACAAGTTAGTTCTCCCAATTCATTTAGGTATTACTGTGCATAGGCTTTCCCACGCATTTTAGGTGTCACCCCGCAAGGATACTTACTGGTCCTTGTTTCCTTCATCAGCAGCATTAGAGCATTGCAGTAATCAGTTATTTTCAAGATCCATTCCAGCTCTGAGTAGCTATAAGTTCTTTGACTTCTGTTTCTTCACATTCAATTTTTCTTGTTTCAGCCTAGCATTCTCTTCCTTTTTTTTTTTTTTTTTTTGAGATGGAGTCTCGCTCTGTCTCCCAGGCTGGAGTGCAGTGGCGTGATTATTGGCTCACTGCAACCTCTGCCTCCTGGGTTCAAGCGATTCTCCTGCCTCAGCCTCCAGAGTAGCTGGGACTACAGGTGCTCACCACCACACCCAGCTAATTTTTGTATTTTTAGTAGAGACGGGGTTTCACCATATTGGCCAGGCTGGTCTCGAACTCCTGACCTTGTGATCCGCCTGCCTTGGCCTCCTAAAGTGCTGGGATTACAGCCATGAGCCACCGCACCCAGCTGCATTCCCTTCTTTTGAGATTTTGAATCTTGATTCTGCACTCATGTAGTAACAGCTGTCCCTGCCAGCATTGCACCTGCCAACATTTGCACATTTCTTAAATATCCCTAAACTAAGTTGTTCATTAAAAAACTGAATAGAGGCTGGGCGCAGTGGCTCACGCCTGCAATCCCAGCACTTTGGGAGACTGAGGTGGGCGAATCACGAGGTCAGGAGCTCGAAATCAGCCTGGCCAACACGGTGAAACCCCATCTCTACTAAAAATACAAAAAAATTTAGCCGGGCATAGTGGTGCATGCCTGTAATCCTAGGTACTCAGGAGGCTGAAGCAGGAGAATTGCTTGAACCTGGGAGGCGGAGGTTGCCATGAGGTGAGATCACGCCTCTGCCCTCCAGTCTGAATGACAGAGTGAGACTCTGTCTCAGGGAAAAAAAAAAAAAAAAAAAAAAAAAAAAAAAAAAAAAAAAAACTTGAGTAGAACAGAACCACTCCCTAAGTGTTCCGAGTATTGGTTTTTAGTTTTATTCTGTTTCAGCTATGCTTAACTAAGATTTTGTAGACTTACCCACAAAGATAAGTAACTGTTATTTTACTTACCTACCACACCCAGCTAATTTTCGTTATTATACTTCTTTTAGACCAAGAAACTAAAGCACAGCAAGGTTAAATAGCTTGTATAAGGTCACACAGCTAGTAAGAGGTAGATCCTGGATTTGAACCTAGCCAATTTGTTTTCAGAGCCTTTCTTAGGAAACAGGGCCAGAGAGACTGAATACCTTACCCTGTTAATACCTTACTGAAATGGAACTATTCATGGTGATCCTAATTTATTGACTTAACTCTAACCTTTGCTATATTTTTACCTGTCTGGACCTTAATCCTCTATGCTGTTTATTTGTCTTCATTTGTTGTTACTGCAAGTTCACATTCATATGGCAGCCATGGAATTCATACTATTATCAGTATATTGTTTCATCAATAAAAGGTGAATGTACCAACATACAAACTTCAGTGTTTTCTACTTTTATTTATTTGAATGCACTAGTAGATCCTAGATTAATCCTTTGAGGGAGAGAGCTTACCTTAAAATAATAAAAAAGTATATCCTAATAGTATATGTGAGATTCAAGTTCTGATATTTTTGAAAAATCAAATATCTTTGCAGTGGAATGAATATGGTAGAAAATGTCTAATTCTTGTTCAGTGGAGATTTGGCCTTCCTAATTAATAGTATTTACTAATACTTGTATATTCTTTGTTTCTCCTACTCTGAATTTCATTTTTTAGTTTTTCATGTATTTGCAAGTTGAAAATTGATTCAAATTAGGACTTTTATGCATTATTGTGGAATTTAATTTCACACATTATAGATTTTGAAATTTATTGTAATCTTGGCTCAGAACTATTGTTCCGAGTCGCAGTGTAATACAGTCTGCTGGTTGAATCTAATTAAGGTGTCGTATCACTTGCATGCAGTATGTATCTTTGCCTAGAATGTTCTAAAATTCCTCACTTGGGAATAACACTTTCCTCAGTTCTTGGTTTGATTGAAAAACCCAGCAATATTTGACGCACCGTATGTAACTCTTGTTTAAAAGGCAGACTTCGTTTATCTTTTGCATTTGTTGACTATTTTAACCAAAATGCTCAACTGCACTTTCTAGCATGATTACTAATGGCTTGAGTATTAATCTTATTAATGTTACCTATATTCATTTGTCATCACTGCATTCAAAGACAAGCACGAGTGTACTCCAGCTGTGGTATACAAATATTAGGGAAGTATAAATAATTTAGCAATTGAAAATTGAGTAGTTTGAAAATAAAATTGCTGCCTAACAATTACAATTTATAATTTTAAGGAAAATGAGCAAGTTGTCTCTTTATGAAATTATATTTTTACAATTACGGAGTTTACTACAGCATTATGATTATGTATTGGTGAGATGGCCTGCCTCTCTTAGAACAGTGTGAAAAACAATTTCAAGCCACTGGAATTCCCAGGATTATTTTGCTTAGTCCATAGATCTTTTCTCCCTCTCTTCACTTGGATTCTCCCACTGTTATCTGTTTCTTGCTCTCCTTTGCAAGTTAATTGTCCCTTAAATAAACAAACACAAATTCTTTAAAGAATAGCAGAAACAAGGGTCCTATCTCTGACCATTTTTTGCTCTGTAACAGTGTTTCTCAACATTAACACTATTGGCATTTGGACCACATAATTCTTTGTTGTAGGGGACTGTCATGCATTGTAGGATGTTTAGCAGCATCCATTACCTTTACCCACTAATTGCTAGGGGTAATCTCCAAGTAGTGACAATTCAGAATGTTTCCATACACTACCAGATGTCCCCTTGTAGGACAAATCATCCCCAGTTGAGCACCAGTGCCCTACAATATTGAACAAGTACTTAATCTCCCTGGCTGACAGTTGGTTTCTCCATTTGTATAATGTGGTTAATAGTCCCTGCCTACTACAGAGGGTAAAATATATGTACAAGTGTTTTGCGCATTTTAAAGCACGGTGTACAAATAAGAGATTTGGTTAAGCCTGGCAGCAGAGCTCATTTTTGGACTCTATTTTGGCCAGTATTTCAGCACAGAGAATGAAGTTGAGAATGTCAGGACATGGTAATGAGTCACAGGCCTTATGACCCACTTGTGGATGATACTCTACAGAGGTGTTCTGCCCAAATAGGGGAATTGGATGGGGACATTGCAGGAGGTGATGTGAACAGGGCTTGCCTAGACGATGTGTACCTTACCAGACAATCCTGAGATTCTGAGATAGCTGCAGTGGGGCAGTGCTCCATTGGGAAGGCCTATGACATTCCTCAGAATGCCTTTAGCCTTTCTTGCTGCACTGAGTATTTAGCACTTTTGGATACAAGGCTTTTGGCCAATGTGTCCATCTCTGGCCCTCAAAAAAGGAATACTACTTTTTGAATATTCCTATCTCCTGTTTATTTCAGATTCAATACATATTTATTGTCTCTTACATGCAAGGCAGTATGCCGAGTGCTTTCACATATATTCTGTTGGTTTATAATCCTGTAAGTGGCATTAGTTGTATCGCAGATAATAATAATGGTAGTAATAGTATCAGCAGCAGCAGTCGAAGCTAACATTTATCAAGCTCTTACTGTGTCCATGGTACTGTGCTAAATGCTTTATGTATACTAAATCATTGAACCCTAGCAAAATTTCTATGCAGTAGGTATCGTTATTATACTTCTTTTTTTTTTTTTTTTTTGAGATGGAGTCTCGCTCTGTCGCCCAGGCTGGAGTGCAGTGGCGTGATCTCGGCTCACTGTAACCTCCACCTTCCGGGTTCAAGTGATTCTTCTGCCTTAGCCTCCCAAGTAGCTGAGACTACAGGCACGTGCCACCACACCCAGCTAATTTTTGTTGTTATACTTCTTTTTTTAGATGAAGAAAGTAAAGCACAGCAAGGCTAAATAGCTTGTATAAGGTCATACAGCTAGTAAGAGGTAGATCCTGGATTTGAACCTAGCCAATTTGTTTTCAGAGCCTTTCTTAGGAAACAGGGCCAGAGAGATTGAATAACTCTTACAAGCCCATGGAGCCAGTAAGAGGCGGAACTGGGATTCAAATATAATATATGACTCCAATCCATTCCTGTTCCAATGTGCCAAACACCACACTTCTCATTCACTTGTTTTCTCTGCTTCTTTCTGGATAGGATTGCTTCCATGGTGCCAGCTTATAGCAAAGCACAGGGGAATCTATTAAAAGATACTTTAAGAATTCAAAATAGGTTGATAAAAAGGGGTGATAAAAAGGCAAAGAGGAATTTGGAATCAGTATGGTAGAGCTCTCTTTATTTAGTACTTTGGTCTGAGTATTTATTTTTACATTTGGTTTCTGTGGAGTACTCCTACTTTTAGTTAAGAGTACTTTTCAGAATTGAAAGGCATAATGTCTCCTATTATGATAGTTTCAGAATTTAAAGGCATAATGTCTTTTTTATTATGATAGATCTGGTTATGGGCCTGTTATTTGTGTGTTGGAGCAGACCAGAAAGGGCTGAAACCTGGAATCAGACTTGTCCTTGAGGTGGACAGATGCTGGTATGGGGGAGGTGATGTGAAGCAGCTAAACCCTCATAGATAGTGTATGAGTTTCCTAGGGTTGTTGTAACAAAATACTGGAGAGTGATGGGTTAAAACAACAGAAATCCATTCTTGTGCAGTTGGAGGGATACTGTTCAACCCAGTACAGATAGTGTCCAGAGAGTAAGCAGCAAACGGCTTTGCAAACAGCAGAGGGAAGACCACCCAGAGTACAGGGAATGAAGCTGATAGAGGACACTCTAGGAGCAGGCTGTGATCAGAGACTCAGGCAGCTCACGGCCTTTTGATCAGCACATAGGAAGCTCTTTGTTCCAAGCTGATCTCCACTCTCTATGGGACCCTGGCAAGAGCAAGCTGAAATATTTGAGACCGGGCAAATAAGCAGTTTGCCAAGAAAGAGAACAAGGCAAGTCCTCAGGACTGGGATCACGAAAAGCCTGGGTCTCAGGAATAAAGTAAAGCTCAGATACGAGAGTGGGGCCAAGTAGGTCAGGGCCAGTCATGCAGCAACTGTGACTCACTACTGCTGAGTCCCAGAGAGTTGGCTAGAGCATCTAAAACCCCTCCTTCCCAGGGATAGGCATGGAGCCCAGGCAGCAGTGAGCCTTCAGATTGGGGTCCAGTTGGCTGTAGATGAAGCGTGGTAGGGGAGAAATAAATTCAAGGCTTCATTGCTGTAGTTCAAAAACAAACTTTGAGCCAGCTAGGTGGCTCATGCCTGTAATTCCAGCACTTTGGGAGGCTGAGGCGGGTGGATCACCTGAGGCCAGGAGTTCAAGACCAGCCTGGCCAACATGATGAGACCCTGTCTCTACTAAAAATGCAAAAATTAGCCAGTCATGGTGGTGCATGTCTGTAATCCCAGCTACTCAGTAGGCTGAGGCAGAAGAATGGCTTGAACCCTGGAGGCAGAGGTTGCAGTGAGCGAAGATTGTGCCGTGAGACTTCATCTCAAAAAAAAAAAGAAAAAATTATGAAGGGTTACATTCATCGCAGAATTGTTTATGATATAATTAGGAATTGGTCTATGACAAACTCCAGAGGGCCTCCAAAATGAATGAAAGACAAAATGCACTGAATAAGGGTTCTAGGTTAGAAATATAAGTGCAAGTGTGGCAGGCCAGGTCTCACTAATGCAGGCCTCCATTACAACTGTCCCAGCACTGACTGAGTGGCTAGGTTATACACTAAAAGCTGATTGAGCCAGTGCCCTTATACCAAGGCTGGAATGTAACAAAGAGCCCACCAAGAGTTTTGCCTAGGCTTTTCCAGGGCCTTGAAGCATGACAAGATAACGAAGGAATTCTTCTCAGGACCCTTTTAGGATGAAACAAATTTTTTGGGGGTCTGAAGAAAGCACAAACAATTTCTTTGGAGTCTAAAGGAACTCCCCAAACCTTTATGATTTAGCAGGATACAAGATAAGGGTAATCACCCTAGCACCTAGACCCATTTAGATTAAGTAAACTTACTGAGGCTCCAGAAGGTCTTCGGGACTCAGACCTTAGTTATAGCTTAAAAGAAGTTAGTCACTTACGTTTTTAGATAAATGCACACTTACACGTAGACATATAGCTTAGAAGGTGTATAGGCTCTGGAGAACTTTGTAATTTTGAGTTGGTCTGGTGATAATTTCCAGGCCTTTTCCCTGTGGCTGGTTACAGAAATAAAAACTCTTCCTCCCCAGTTCATCTATATCTTGTTATTGGGCCTCAAGAAATAGCAGCCCAAGAGGCCGGGCATGGTGGCTCACGGCTGTAATCCCAGCACTTTGGGAGGCTGAGGCGGGCGGATCACCTGAGGTCAGTAGTTCGAGATCAGCCTGACCAACATGGTGAAACCCTATCTCTACTAAAAATACAAAAAATTAGCTGGGGGTGGTGGCAGGCACCCGTAATCCCAGCTACTCTGCAGGCTGAGGCAGGAGAATTGCTTGAACCCGGGAGGCAGAGGCTGCAGTGAGCCAAGATCACTCATTGCATTCCAGCCTGGGCAACAAGAGTGAAACTCCATCTCAAGAAGAAAAAAAAAAAAAAAAAGAAAAGAAGTAGCAGCCTGACCCTCAGTTTAGTCTGGGAACACAAAGAAGACAAGGACAAGCACAAGCGCAAACACACACACACACACACACACACACACACACACACGCCAACTGTAAATGAATGCGGCTAGAAGGATGGAGGCAGATAGGTGAGGAAGCCATTGACTTGTACCAGCATTGGGGTTCTCTGTTCTTATGAACTGTCTAGGATATAATTCTTACAGAATCAGTCCACCTTAAAGGTGAAGTGGAAAACAGACAGGTATGGATCACTCAGAGTCCTAAGATGTTATGGCAGGCTGGCTTTCAATTATGTTAAAGAAGTAATGAAAGTCCCAGAGAAGCATTGTCAAACAATGAATCTAAAAAGAAAGGGTCAAAAATCAGCCTCTCTGATGAGAGTAGATGGACTGACCTACAAGTGTTTCCTAGGAAGAACAGTAGCTTTCATTTTACAAATGACTTTTAATATTATTACATTTTTATTCCCTTTATCGAAAGCACTCAGTATTACCCAGAGAACCCATTCTCTCTCTCTCTCTTTTTTTTTTTTTTTTTGGAGACAAGAGTTTTGCTCTTGTTGCCCAGGCTGGAGTGCAATGGCGCGATCTCGGCTCACTGCAACCTCTGCCTCTCTGGTTCCAGTGATTCTCCTGCCTCAGCCTCCTGAGTAGCTGGGAATTATAAGTGCCCGCCACCACACCTGGCTAATTTTGTATTTTTAGTAGAGACGGGGTTTCTCCACATTGGTCAGGCTGGTCTCAAACTTCCGACCTCAGGTGATCCGCCCATCTCAGCCTCCCAAAGTGCTGGGATTACAGGCGTGAGCCACTGTGCCCAGCCTGAGAGCCCATTCTTATTTATCCCTTGCCAGGGCACCTTAACACTTGCCAGAGACAGAAACTGACAAAGTCTTTTTTGTTTGTTTTGTTTTTGAGACGGAGTTTCACTCTTGTTGCCCAGGCTGGAGTACTATGGCACAATCTTGGCTCACTGCAACCTCCACCTCCCGGGTTCAAGTGATTTTTCTGCCTCAGCCTCCTGAGTAGGTGGGATTACAGACATGCGCCACCACGCCTGGCTAATATTTTGTATTTAGTAGAGACGGGGTTTCACCATGTTGGTCAGGCTGGTCTCAAACTCCTGACCTCGGCCTTCCAAAGTGCTGGGATTACAGGCATGAGCCACTGTGCCTGGCTCAGAGTTTGTTTTTGAATTGTAGCAATGAAGCCTTGAATTTATTTCTCCCTACCAAGCCTCATGTATGGCCAACTGGACCCCAACCTGAAGGCTCACTGCTGCCTGGGCTCCATGCCTATCCCTGGGAAGGAGGGGTTTTAGATACTCTAGCCAGCTCTCTGGGAGTCAGCAGTAGTCAGTGACAGTTGCCTGTGACCTTTGGAAAAGGCTTTTTCTCAATTTGTTGTTAACTTTGTTAATGAATTTTTTTTTTTTGAGACGGAATCTTGCTGTATTGGCAGGCTGGAGTGCAGTGGCGTAATCTCAGCTCACTGCGACCTCCACCTCCCGGATTCAAGCAATTCTCCTGCCTCAGCCTCCCGAGTAGCTGGGACTACAGGTGCGTGCCACCACGCCCGGCTAATTTTTGTATTTTTAGTAGAGACGGGGTTTCACCATGTTGGCCAGGATGGTCTTGATCTCTTGACCTCGTGATCCACCTGCCTCAGCCTCCCAAAGTGCTGGGATTACAGGCGTGAGCCACCACATCCGGCCAATGATGTTTTGTTATACAGAAATATCAAACGTTAATTTTGTCATATATTACTCTTTATAGTTGTTGGCTTTGCTGTCATGTCTAGAAAGATTCTAAAAATAATCACTCATACTTTCTTTAAGTACTCTTATGGTTTTGTATTTTCTTTTTTTTTTTTTTTTTTGAGACGGAGTCTCGTTCTGTCGCCCAGGCTAGAGTGCTGCAGTGACACGATCTGGGCTCACCGCAACCTCCGCCTCCTGAGTTCAAGCAGTTCTCCTGCCTCAGCCTCCCTAGTAGGTGGGACTACAGGTGCCCGCCACCATGCCCAGCTAATTTTTGTATTTTTAGTAGAAACAAGGTTTCCCTGTGTCAGCCAGGATGGTCTTGAACTCCTGACCTCGTGATCCACCTGCCTTGGCCTCCCAAAGTGCTGGGATTACAGGTGTGAGCCACCACGCCCAGCCTGGTTTTGTATTTTCATTTAATCTGGGTGGAATTAATTTTGGTATGTTCTATGAATTACAGTTCAATCAATTTCTCTCAAATAATTAACCTGTTATCTTAGCATCATTAAACAATGTGATTTCTGCTGTGAGAAACTGTTGTATTGCTTCCTCTGAATTGGGAAAGAGGATGTGTGTGGTAAGTGTGTAAAGAGATATTCTATCATGTATTAGCATTTAGCCAAGTCCCTGATCTTTTCTTTGATGACTTGGTGGCCATAATTTCTGAGTATACTAGGTTGTATACATTTGCCTTCTTAGTCTCTTTTAGTCCTAAAAGAGGTATTTACCTTAGAAAGTGGCTTTCACTAGTTTTCCTCAAAGATTGTGAATTCTGTTTTGTGGATGACCTGTTTTTAACCATAGCCTATGTACTGTCACCAAATATGCTTTTCTGCTGCTTCATTTTGTCAACTGATAATTGCTCTGAAATTATAAACTAATAATTGTTTCAGCAGTATAAAAATAGACTACAGTGTATACTTACTGTCCATTTAATACTACAGATTCCAAAGCTGTATGACATTTTTGTTTTCTACTGTTATGTTCTTTGTGCTCTAGCCCTTCTCTGATATGTGGATAATTTAGAGGCAATGATAGTATTTAATATGCCCGATTTTTTCTTTAAGGCAAGAAATTGTTTTTTTTTTTTTTTTTTTGTGATGGAGTCTCGCTCTGTCACCCAGGTTGGAGTGCAGTGGCACGATCTCGGCTCACTGCAACCTCCGTCTCCTGGGTTCAAGTGATTCTCCTGCCTCAGCCTCCTGAGTAGCTGGGATTACAGGTGCCTGCCACCACGACTGACTAATTTTTGTATTTTTAGTAGAGACAGTGTTTCACCACGTTGGCCAGGCTGGTCTTGAACTCCTGATCTCAGGTGATCTGCCCGCTTTGACCTCCCAAAGTGCTGGGACTTCAGGTGTGAGCCACCACGCCCAGCCAAGAAATTGATTTTTTTTAGTTAATAATGTTTACCAAGTATTGTAGTTGGGTGAAGTCTTCAAGCTTAAAAGTAAACCTCCAGCATGTTATTACCTAAGGAATTTGTGTCAAGGCTGATTGAACCTGAATCTCTTAAATGCTTTGTTTTTGTAGAGAGGAAAATATGATGTTCCCAAGTGGCTCTCTCCCAGTAGCATTCTGCTTCTTCAACAAATGCTGCAGGTAAACTTTATTTTTAAATAATAGAAGTCTATTGTAATTGTTTGGTTCAACTTTTAAGATATCTGTGGTGCTACATCATTTCCTATTAGCTTGAAAAAAATCCCACTCATATCTACCTTGAAAATATCCTCTATTAGATCCTTTCTTAATTATGTTGTAAACCTAGTTTATTTTAGACACCTACCATATGTTATAGCTGGTATGGTTTTTCTTACTTTGCGAATTTTCTGTTTTCTCTAACTAGTTCTTGTTCCACTCTCTTTTATTCCAAAATTATTGATTGATTGATTGATTGATGGAGATAGAGTCTCACTCCTTAGAAGACCCTCAGGTTGGAGTGCAGTGGCGTGATCTTGGCTCACTGCAACCTTCGCCTTCTGGGTTCAAGTGCTTTTTCTGCTTCTGCCTTCCGAGTAGGTGGGATTACAGGTGTGAACCACCATGCCTGGCTAATTTTTGTATTTTTAGTAGAGACAGAGTTTTCCCATGTTGGCCAGGCTGGTCTCGAACTCCTGACCTCAAGGTATCTGCCTGCCTCAGCCTTCCAAAGTGCTGGGATTATAGGCGTGAGCCTCTACACCTGGCCCCAGCTCTTTTTTTTTTTTTTTTTTATTTAGATGGAGTCTCCCTCTGTTGCCCAGGCTGGAGTGCAGTGGCGTGATCTTGGCTCACTGCAACCTTTGCCTCCCAGGTTCAAGTAATTCTCCTGCCTCAGCCTCCTGAGTAGCTAGTACTACAGGCGTGTGCCACTATGCCTGGCTAGTTTTTGTATTTTTAGTAGAGACGAGGTTTCACTATGTTAGCCAGGCTGGTCTCGAACTCCTGACCTCACGTTTTCTGCCTGCCTCGACCTCTCAAAATCCAAAGTGCTGGGATTACAGGTGTGAGCCACTGGCTTTTGTTTTTTTGAGACAGAGTTTTGCTTTGTTGCTCAGGCTGGAGTGCAACGGTGCGATCTTGGCTCACCACAACCTCCGCTTCCTGGGTTCCCAGGTTCAAGTGGTTCTCGTGCCTCAGCCTCCCAAGTAGCTGGGATTACAGGCATGTGCCACCATTCCTGGCCAATTTTTGTACTTTTAGTAGAGATGGGGTTTCACCATGTTGTCCAGGCTGGTCTTGAACTTCTGACCTCAGGTGATCCACCCGCCTTGGCCTCCCAAAGTACTGGGATTACAGGTGTGAGCCACCGCACCCAGCCTGGCCTCTTTTTTTAAAAAAAAATTTTATAGACAGGGTTTTACTCTGTCGCCCAGGCTGGAGTGCAGTCATATGATCTTGGCCCACTACAGCCTTGACCCCCAGGCTCAAGTGTTAGTTCTACTTCAGCCTCCCAAGTAACTGGGACCACTGGTATACACCACCACACCTGACTAATTTTTTGTGTTCTTTCTTTAGTTTTCTTTTTTTTTTGGTTGTTTTTAAATTTTATTTATCACTTCATTCCTTATAATTACTTTCAGCAAACTGTATTTTTTGTAGAGATGGGGTTTCGCTACGTTGCCCAGGCTGGTTTCGAACTCCTGAGCTCAAGCGTTCTGCCTGTCTTGATCTCCCAAAGTGCTGGGATTACAGGTATGAGCCACGGCATCCCGCCTTTTCCCAACTCTTGCTCATTAAGTATGTTAGTAGATACTGAATAAATACTTGAATGAGTTGATGTACTATTGAATGGGCCCTGTTACCTAGTGCAGTGGTTCTCAAACTTCAGCAGATATCAAAATTACCCCGGGCTTGTTAAAATACAGATTGCTGGCCTCCAGCCCCAGAGTGTGTAATTCAATAGATCTGAGGCAGGACTGAAATTTTGCATTTCTAACAAGCTCCCAGAAGATGCTGATGCTGCAGGTCTTGGGGCCACACTTTGAGAACCACAGATTTATTGGAATGAGCCTCTGAGGGTGAAAGATAGGAGTGCTGAAGCCTAGGTAAGCACTCTACCAATTAATCAATGTATCACCTAATCTGATCTATAAAATGGGGGTTCTGAGCCTGGCCTCACTGCTATGTAGTGTTATAAGGACAAAATGAGATTGATAGGAAACACTTTGAAAATATGAGTATCTTCTTAGTGCAATTTTTTTTTCATTATGTATTCAGAATATCTTCTGGTTTTTTCATCTATTAAGTCATCTCCATCTTTTATTCAAAATTTACCTCAGGCTCACTCACCTTGATTAAGTAGGGCCAGACCACCAAATCTCCGTAATGAGATTGAAAATGCCTTACTCTTTCTTCTAGACTCCAAAATAACGTTAATCTTTGTTGATTAATTTTTCTCTCCTTACATTTGAAAATTACAAATGGAAAGGTGTGCTTTTCAACTTGTTCTGTGTGATTGTAAGCTCATTGGAGGTAGAGATTGCATATTCAGTATGAATGCCCTGCATTGTGGCTGCTTGAATGTTTAATTGGTGAATATTTCCCGTGAATAGGTTTTCCAGCAAAAGACTATTACATCATACAATAGATTGAACTTCACGAATAATGTCCATACCAATGAAGTTCATGTTTGTTAAACATTTATCTTCTAAGCCTGTGTTGGTTGCTATAGTTTTCTTGCCTCTGTTGCCTTTTTAAAAGAATTTCTTCCAAGGCCATTTTAAAGTCTTTGACAGCATTTTTGTGATGATAAAGTTTACATCTGTTCTGATGCATTTTTAGTTTTCAGGAGGAAAGGTGTTCTATGTTCTCTATTTGAAATGTTAATCTCTAGCTACTTTTTAATGGCCACTAGGTGGACCCAAAGAAACGGATTTCTATGAAAAATCTATTGAACCATCCCTGGATCATGCAAGATTACAACTATCCTGTTGAGTGGCAAAGCAAGAATCCTGTAAGTAAAATGAAATCCAGTAGAATTTTTTTTTGACTTTGTGTGGTCTTTGGGTGAATTCAGAACCTACAATGATGTGGTCTAAATATACAAGAAAATATATTAATCAGATTGGTGTTTGGGAGACTTGTAACCTAATGGACAGTGGTTCCTTAACCCCATCTGCAAATGAGAATTACCTGGGACCTTAAAAAGAAATGCCTGCTCCCCATCCCAGAACACTTAATGGGAGTTTTTAAAAGCTCCCAGGTGTTTCTCATGTGCAGTCAGTCACAGTGCTCTGGGAATCTTGGACAAGTTACTTAACTTTGCAGAACCTATTTATTCATCTGTAAAAAGTAGGTTAAACCAGTTCTACTTCCCAGAGAAGTTATGAGGGTACAGTAGTTCTCAAACTTTTTAGTTTGAGGATCCCTTTATACTCTTAATATTTATTTATTCATTAAAAACTAATATGATAAAACTATTGCATATTAACACAAATATTTTTATGAAGAATAACCATTTACAAAATAAATTTAGCAAAAAGAATGACATTGTTTTACAACTTTGCAAATTTCTTTAAAGTCTGGCTTAATAGAAGACACCTGTATAGCCACCTGCTTCTGTGTTCAGTCTGTTTTGATAGGTTGTTTTGATTGAAGCCAAGGAATAAAATGCAGCCTCACACAGATATGCAATAGGAAAAGGAAGAAAAATTCTAATAGCCATTCAGACAGTTTCTGATAGCCCATTAAAACTTGACAAATGGTAGTTTCTTAAAGGGTAATTGCATGTGGAATCTGAAGCCATATCAATGAAATTTTGTACTGTATTCCATAAAATCCATTGTTCTGTCCATTGGATCTTTTCCTCACATAACATGATGCATTGGTTATTTGGAAAACACTGGTTTGCTGAGTTATGCAAATCTTCCAAACGTTAACACATTTCGTTATACAACATTAAATCACATTCCTTAAAATCACTACTGATCTCAGTAGAAAAGTCTTTAACTATTGGAAAGCACTCAAGATCATGGTGGCAAATAAAAGTTTTCTAAATTCTAATTTTTGCTTAAAAGCTAAAATTCTATCATTGACAACAAATATGTCATTCTCCTTGAACTGACAAATTCCCTTGGTTCATTTTTGAGAAAATGTCTGCTGAACATTTAAGTCTAAATAACTATAGTTAGTCCGTGTTCTTTCTCATCAAAATGGTGTTCTTTGAAAAAAATGGCTAATTAGGCCAGGCACGGTGGCTCACACCTGTAATCCCAGCACTTTGGGAGGCTGAGGCAGGCGTATTACTTGAGGTCAGGAGTTCCAGACCAGCCTGGCCAACATGGTAAAACCCCATCTTTACTAAAAATGCAAAAAATTAGCTGGCATGGTAGTGCCTATAATCCCAGGTTCTCAGGAGGCTGAGGCAGAAGAATTGCTTGAACTCGGGAGGCAGAGGTTGCAGTGAGCTAAGAGCGCCACCGCACTCCAGCCTTGGGTGACAGAGCGAGACTCTGTTTCAAAAAGAAAAGAGGCTGGGTGCAGTGGCTCACATCTGTAATCCCAGCACTTTGGGATCCCAGGCGGGTAGATTATGAGGTCAGGAGTTCGAGACCAGCCTGACCAATATGGTGAAACTCTGTCTCTACTAAAAATACAAAAATTAGCTGGGCGTGGTGGCACACACCTGTAATCCCAGCTACTCAGGAGGCTGAGGCAGGAGAATAGCTTGAACCCGGGAGGAGAGTGAGACTCCATCTCAAAAGAAAAAGAAAAAGAAAAAAATGGCTAATTGAGCTCATAATTCAGTCATACAGGTGCTTTTCCTCGAGACAGCTATCAAACTTTGGTATTGTAGAAGTACATTATGCTACTTCCTATTTAGTCACACAGAGTATTAAAAACGTACTCAGAAATGTAATAAAATTAATATATTTTACTGGTTTATCAAGGAAATTCTTAATTGAAACTGGCTTCTTTTCGAACTATGGGTATATGACAAAGAATACAATATTTTAGTACAGTTTGGTGCCACTGCATTGATTCATACTAAGGTGCCAGCAATTTATTTATTTAATTTTAATTTTTTTTTTTTTGAGTGGGAATCTCGCTATTATCGCCCAGACGGGAGTGCAATGGCACGATCTTGGCTGACTACAACCTCCGCCTCCCAGTTTCAAGCAATTCTCCTGCCTCAGCCACCCGATTAGTTGGGATTACAGCCGCCTGCTACAACGTTTGGCTAATTTTTGTATTTTTAGTAGAGATGGGATTTCACCATGTTGGCCAGGCTGGTCTTGAACTCCTGACCTCAGGTGGTCCGCCTGCCTTGGCCTCCCAAAATGCTGAGATTACAGGCATGAGCCACTGCACCTAGCTGCCAGCAATTTTATCACTGCATTTGTACCATCCATACAAATGTCAACACTTTGAAAAATGAAAAATAATATTATTATAAAAATAGTTTGACCTTGGAGACTCTCAGGCATCTGCAGACCGTGCTTTGAGAACTGGTCTAATATGCGTATATGTAAAAAAACATAAACAACACCAAGTGTTATTTAAGTTTAAACAATTTAAAAAATACTATTTCTACATTGTTTTTAAAAAATGCTTTTTTTTTTTTTTTTGAGATGGAGTCTCGCTCTGATGCCCAGGCTGGAGTGCAATGGCGCAGTCTCAGCTCACCACAACCTCCGCCTCCTGGGTTCAAGTGATTCTCTTGCCTCAGACTCCCGAGTAGCTGGGACTACAGGCATGTGCCACCATGCCTGGCTAATTTTTATATTTTTAGTAGAGACGGGGTTTCACTGTGTTGGCCAGGCTGGTCTTGAACTCCTGACCTGCCTGCCCTGGCCTCTCAAAGTGCTGGGATTACAGGCGTGAGCCACTGTGCCTGGCCTTAAAAATGCTTTTTTTCAAACAAATGGCCACTTGGTAAAAATGTGGATATTACTATAGGACTTGGATATTTTGTGTATTAGTTATTGCTGCATTAAAAACTACCCTGAAATTTAGTGGCTTAAAACAATAATTTGGCTGGGCACGGTGGCTCACGCCTGTAATCCTAGCACTTTGGGAGGCCGAGGCAGGTGGATCACCTGAGGTTGGGAGTTTGAGACCAGCCTGACCAACATGGAGAAACCCGTTTCTAGTAAAAATACAAAATCAGCTGGGCGTGGTGGTGCATGCCTGTAATCCCAACTACTCGGGAGGCTGAGGCAGGAGAATCACTTGAACCTGGGAGGCGGAGGTTGCAGTGAGCCAAGATTGCGCCATTGCACTCCAGCCTGGGCAACATGAGCGAAACTCCGCCTCAAAAAATAAATTAATTAAAAAAAAACAGTAATAATTTACAGTTCTGTGGACCAGATATTTGGGCTGGGTTCAGCTGGGCTGTTCTTATGTAGGCCTTACCTGGGGTCGTGGCTACAGTCATCTTGTAACTGGGCTGAATGGTCCAAGCCTCACTAGAAAGACTGGCTGTTTCCTGGGCCACATGTGTCCATCAGGCTAACCTGGACTTTTTTATGTAGCAACTGGATTTCTTTCTTTCTTTCTTTCTTTCTTTCTTTCTTTCTTTCTTTCTTTCTTTCTTTCTGTCTGTCTTTCTTTCTTTCTGTCTTTCTTTCTTTCTGTCTTTCTTGTCTTTCTTGTCTTTCTTGTCTTTCTTACCGAGTCTCACTCTGTCACCCAGGCTGGAGCAGTGGCACGATCTCTGCTCACTGCAAGCTCTGCCTCCCGGGTTCATGCCATTCCCCTCCCTCGGCCTCCCGAGTAGCTGGGACTACAGGTGCCTGCCACCACCCGGCTAATTTTTTGTGTTTTTGGTAGAGACGGGGTTTCACCATGGTAGCCAGGATGGTCTCGATCTCCTGACCTTGTTATCCGCCTGCCTCGGCCTCCCAAAGTGCTGGGATTACAGGCATGAGCCACTGCACCCGGCCAGCAACTAGATTTCAAAAGAAGAAAGAGGATAAGCCCTAGTGCTCTAGCATTTTTCAAGCTTCTGCTTGCATTGTACTTACTAATGTTCCACTGGCCAAAGCAAGCCATGTGACAAAGCCCAGAGCCACTATGGAAGGTGTATCTTTCAAGGTTGTACAATTCTTATTCCCTATTTATAGATAAGGGAACGGAAAAATGAAAAGCAACTATTTAAGATATAAATGTAGTGAGAAGAGTGGCATTGCTTTACATCTTTGCCAATTTCTTTGAAGTCTGTCTTATTAGAAGACAACTCATGTGCTTCTGCATTCAGCCTGTTTTGATAACATCGTTTTGATTGAAACAAATGAAGAAAATACAGCCTCACACAGATATGTAATTAGAAAAAATAGAAGTATTTTAATAGTGTTTCCAGATAATTGGGGATATTCTCTGATATGTCACCAAAACTTTTGCAGTGGACTAGGACATGTGCATGAATCAACACAACAGCTTAGAGGTGTGTCTCAGATATGCCACAGCATAGAATTGGTAGAGCTGTGGGGTATTTGCTTTCTGGAATAATCACACCAATGTAAATATCCTTCCCAGTAGCCAGCTCGTCTTGGAAAGATAGACTATACTTGCTCCAAGCCCTTTCTCACTGTTCTGCCCACTATTAATGGGCCATGTGGCCTGAGCTGAAATCACTCCTGATTCTCCTATGACTGTCAACTCCTAAAACTTCTGTTATCTAAATTCCCCCAGCCCTACATGACATCTTTAATATCTATTGAGCAAATATAACATAATTCTAACAGCAACCACACCAAGATCCTAAGAAAAGCAGAATGTGCAAGTGTCTGAGCAGTGTAGCAGCAGAACCAGGGAAGCTGTGATGTGCCCCTTGTGAGGTGGAGAGAGTGGGTGGTGCAAATGCCTGTGTTCAGCCATTGGGGGTCATCATTTCTCCATGTGCGGAGGGCTTTGCACATCTTCTCAGCCATGATCCTAATAGGATAGAATACATTACTGTTTGTGTTAGATGCCAAAATGAAGAAAGTCTCTGCTTTCTACAACCCCAAGAGTTTTTTTTTATTTGGGACACAGTATAAAGTAAAATATATAAAGTTATGAGTGTTCCAAAAGAGTATACAGTTTCCCTTACATCTTTTTTTTGTTTGTTTTTTTGAAATGGAGTTTCGTTCTTGTTGCCCAGGCTGGAGTGCAGTGGTGTGATCTCGGCTCACCGCAGCCTCTTCCTCCTGGGTTCAAGCGATTTTCCTGCCTTAGCCTTCCGAGTAGCTGGGATTACAGGCATGCGCCACCACGCCCAGCTAATTTTGTATTTTTAGTAGAGACGGGGTTTATCCATGTTGGTCAGGCTGGTCTTTAACTCCCGACCTCAGGTGATCGGCCGACCTCAGCCTCCCAAAGTTCTGGTGTTACAGATGTGAGCCACCATGCCCAGCCTCCCTTACATCTTAATTTAATAATTGCTACTATTTACTGAGCACGTAGAGTAGAATAGTGTACTATTTTAGTAAGGGCTCTCTGTATATTATACTGTGGTAAAATATAGGTAGAACTGTTAGGATAGTACCTTTAAGAGTCAGGCACTATCCTATGGGCTTTATGTTGTGTTAACTCCTTTAATCCATTTAATCTGTACGCCAATCCTCCGAAGAAGGTACTATTATTGCCCCTTTTTGCAGATGAGGCAACTGAGACACAGAATCATTAAGTAACTTGCCCATGGTCAAACAACGAGTAAGTGTAGAACCAGGATTTAAACGCACACCGAAGGGTTCTGGAATGGAATGGATCTGATAGGCTAGCTGATTCAAGCTCAGGGCCCACGTCCTGTGTATTTGCAGCCTTTGTGGCGAGCATTGCTTATCTGGTGTCTGTTGAAGTAGCTACTGGAGCAGAGTGATGGAGAGGTGGCATTGTGTTATGGTAGGAAAACCTGGGGCTAGGAATGAAAAATGCCAGTCTTAGGCAGATCACAGTAACTTTTCTGAGTCTTCATTTTATCACCTCTAATATGGGTATTCTAATGTCAATCTGTGTATGTTTGGGTCATGTTTTGCCATTTATAGAGTAACTTTACATGTTGTATCATTAATCTCTTTTGCCTGCCTTGCAGAGCTGTTACAGGATCAAATGAATTATATACAGGAGAGGCATAATGAATTGTTGTTGCTTTTTAAAGGATTTGCTTTTCTCTTTCAGTGTTGTGTTTCATCAAGAGTGAACTATTAAAAAAAATTCAGATTTCCTTGAATATTTAAGGTATAGATGCTGTCTGTTCTGTAACTCTACGCATGATCGCCTCCTACCATTTTCATACATAGTTCTGGTACCCAAGTATTGCATCAAATAGAAATTATAGTCAGTTTCATTTTCTGCCCTGGCGAACAGGAAATGTAGTAGGCACAGATAATCCAAAATAATTGGCTAGCTTTTGGTATGCAGTTTTGTACTTAATTTGAGTATGTGTGGCTGAGGATTCAGAGCGCTTTAAGTATTGATCCTCTTTGGAAGACACAGCTTGAGATTAATCATGTTTTTTAGACCCTTGGTATCTTTTCTACCACACTCATTTCATTGTTTCCAGTTCAGGAGCCCAGCAGAGATAGTAGAACCTCCTTCTTCCATCTCCTGCCTTTCTCACACATATGCCTTGTGGTAAAGGTACAGGCAGGAGGCTGCGGGAGAGAGGGGTTCTTTTACAGTTAAAAAAATATTTTTTTTTTACACTTAAGATGATGGAGGGAACCTCAAAAATTTATTTTCTTGCTTGAGCAGTGTTGACATCAACAAGAGGATACCAGGTATTAAGGTGTCTAGGCTTCTGAGGTTGAGACCATCTTGAGGGGAAATCTACAGTTCTAGGAGCGGTCATAGTCAAAGCAGCACAATGAAAACTTATTCTTAGCACTTTGGACTTTAACAGTACCACTAGTATAAACCTTTGTGGTCTCTACTTTGTAACCCATGAGGTTGTGCTTATACCAGTCAATAATGCAAGGCTCTCTCAGTCTGTTTGAGCTGCTGTGACAAAATACCATAAATTGAGTGGCTTAGAGAGAACAGAAATTTATTTCTTGCAGTTCTGGAGGTTGGGAAGTTCAAGATCAAGGCATCATAGAGCTAGAGTTCTGGAGAGTAAAAATAAAGAAAAAAAAGATCAAGGCACCAGCAGATTTGGTGTTTGATGAGGGCCCACTTTCTGGTTCATAGAATGGCTCTTTCTTGCTGTGTCCTCACGTGGTGGAACGGGAGAAAGGGGAAAGGCCTCTGGAGCCTCTTTTCTTTCTTTTCTTTTCTGTTTCTTTTTCTTTTTTAAAGAGATAGGGTCTCATTCTTTTACCTGGGCTGGAGTGCAGTGGCTTGATCATACCTCACTGTAACCTTGAACTCTTGGGCTCAAGTGATCCTCCCACCTCAGCCTCCTGAGTAGCTAGGACTACGCATGTGAGCCATCGCACCTGGCTAATTTTTGAATATTTTTTTGTAGTAATGGAGTCTTGCTGTATTGCCCAGGCCAGTCTCCAACTCCTGGCTTCAAGTGATCCTCCCACCTTAGCTTCCCAAAGCCCTGGGATTACAGGCATGAGCCATTGTACTTTGGCCTGGGGCCTCTTTTATAAGTGTAATAACCCCATTTATGAGGGCAGAGCCCACTTGTGACCTACTCACCTCCCAAAGACCCAACCTCCTAATACTATTACACTAGTGATTAGGTTTCAGCGTATGAATTGAGGGGAAAAATTTGTCTTTACTGTTTCTTTTCATGATGGCAGCCTTTCTCTTGAGCTTGTTGTTACAAGTGTGATGTTCAAAACAAGGGAAGCTCATGATATTGCCCTGCCTTGTGCTGGGCAGACCTCTCTTTCTTGTTATGTTTGGTTCTGAATACTTCACTTTGATGTGTAGTATCAACCTGGAGTGTGATCTAAAGAAAGGGCCAGAATAGTAAGGGGAGTTAATCATTAAAGTGGAGGTTGGCGGAACTAGAAAACGGAAGACTTGCAGAGGAAAGGTTGCTTATAATAGGAATACGCAAATTTCTGAAAGGCTCTTTTAGCACAGAGGAAATAGAATTATGACTGTTGGTGAAAATAACCAGTTTTTGAGGGCCTACTCTGTTGAGATGTTGTACTAGGCGCTTGCTCTATGTTGCATATATTGCAGGGCACATACCATCTCTCTCTAGCAGATGATGAAACTGAGACTCAGAGGTGTGGTCATGTTCAAGGCCGCATGGTTATTAAGTCCTGTTGCAATTAAAACTAAGGTCTGTCTAATTCCCAAGCCTGTTAGCCATCAGTTTGTACCAATTCCCAGTGGACAGAGATCACAGGGAGACAGACCTCAGGCAGCAGGAGGGAGATGCTAACCATTCCAGCTGTTCTGTGTACCCTGGAGAGGAGGCCTTTAAGCAGAACATAAAGCATCCCTCACTCGGGCTGCCATAAAGAGAGATTTTTTTTTTTTTTTTTTTTTGGAGATGGAGTTTCACTGTTGTTGCCCAGCCTGGAGTGCAATGGCTTGATCTCAGCTCCCCACAACCTCCGCCTCCTGTGTTCAAGCGATTCTCCTGCCTCAGCCTCCTGAGTAGCTGGGATTACAGGCATGCACCACCACGCCTGGCTAATTTTGTATTTTTAGTAGAGACGGGGTTTCTCCATGTTGGTCAGGCTGGTCTCCAACTCCCAACCTAAGATGATCCACCCACCTCGGCCTCCCAAAGTGCTGGGATTACAGGCGTGAGCCACCGCACCTGGCCTAAGAGAGTTATGTTGGAAAGATGAACTTTAAAGTTGTATTCCTCTGCTTCTCTTCCTGTGTAATCTTCTGAGCTCCCTTCCAGGTCCAGGCCAGGCTATTCCTGATTCCTGCCTTTTTGTTCTCAGTGATCCTTGCTTGGTTCTGAGAACCCATTTCCAGCCCTACCTTTAGTGAGGTACCATCATGTAGGGATTATTTGGATAATTTCTGTCCTTAAGCAAAATGAATTTTGTATAGAGGCTCTTACTTATATTCTTTTTTAAAGTTGTGGTCCAGCAAAATAACGATCGTGTGGCATCTATGGCACCATCGTAAAGGCTCCTTGAATTGTGCTAAACATAAACATAACCTGAGGTACCCTGTGCTCTACAAGTTTGAATCACTCTTTTACCAGTCTGTTGTATAGCCACTGATTTTAGATGCCTAGGTGGCTGCTCTTTGATGAAAATACCAATGCAGGTCTTGTGGTAGGGAAGGGGAGTATACAGTCCCTGGGCTGTACAACAGAACTTTTTTTTTTTTTTTTTTTTTTTTTTTTGAGACAGAGTCTCGCTCTGTTGCCCAGGCTGGAGTGCAGTGGCACAGTGTCAGCTCACTGCAGCCTCCGCCTCCTGGGTTCAAGTGATTCTTGTGCCACAGCCTCCCAAGTGGCTGGGATTACAGATGCTCGCCACCATGCCTGGCTAATTTTTGTATTTTTAGTAGAGATGGGGTTTCACCATGCTGGCCAGGCCAGTCTCAAACTCCTGACCTCAGGTGATCTGCCCGCCCCAGCCTCCCAAAATGCTAGAATTACAGGTGTGAACTATTGTGCCCGGCATTGTACAACCGAACTTTAACAACAGTTGCTCAGATGATGATGGGGATAAAGAGTTGGGAAAGAGCACATCTTCTTGAAATGCTTGCTGGAATATGCTTACTTCTTAAAAGATTATAGAGAATATTGATTCTTCCCCAAGAAATTGACAGATTCATGTTTTACATAATGATATTTGATTGTATAAAGTAATTATGCTGATTTTAAAATGTGAAAACATTGAATATATTTGTAATTTTTTGTTAATAAAGTGCATAATTTTTTTTTGTAGTTTATTCACCTCGATGATGATTGCGTAACAGAACTTTCTGTACATCACAGAAACAACAGGCAAACAATGGAGGATTTAATTTCACTGGTAAGAAATACAGCATGGGCTGGGCGCAGTGGCTCACGCCTGTAATCCAAACACTTTGGGAGGCCGAGGTGGGAGGATCACTTGAGGTCAGGAGTTCGAGACCAGCCTGGCCAATGTGGTGAAACCCCATCTCTACTGAAAATACAAAAATTAGCCAGGTGTGGTGGCACGTGCCTGTAATCCCAGCTACTTGGGAGGCTGAGGCACGAGAATCACTTGAACCCGGGAGGCAGAGGTTGCAGTGAGCTGAGATCACACCACTGCACTCCAGCCTGGGCAACAAGAGCTAAACTCCATCTCAAAAAAAGAAAAAGAAAAAAAATACAGCACCAATTTGAGAGTAGTATCTTTTGTTTCATTGTTCTTTATTTTATCAGTACATGAAAAATAGTATAGCATTTTCAGACCTGTGATTTTATTATGGGTACAAATATTGCATTTAAAAAATATTTACATATGATTTCCACACAGTCCTGATGTGTGCTAGATATCTTCTTTAAAAATGAACACTCCATACTTAAAACATTGATGAAGAAGAATTACAGTGAAAAAATAATTAAGAAACAACTGGCCGGGCACGGTGGCTCACGCCTGTAATCCCAGCACTTTCGGAGGCTGAGGTGGGCGGATCACGAGGTCAGGAGATCGAGACCATCCTGGCTAACACAGTGAAACCCCGTCTCTACTAAAAATACAAAAAATTAGCCGGGCGTTGTAGCAGATGCCTGTAGTCTCAGCTACTTGGGAGGCTGAGGCAGGAGAATGGTGTGAACCTGGGAGGCGGAGTTTGCAGTGAGCCAAGATCACGCCACTGCACTCCAGCCTGGGCGACAGAGTGAGACTCCATCTCAAAAAAAAAAAAAAAAGAAAAGAAACAACAAACTAGTGCACAAAGAATGGACAGAGTTCTAATTTTGACTACTTTAAAGTTCTCTAACATGCAACTGGGTTTCTGCTGTGGAAATGAGGTAAACACAAAGCAATTTTCTTTTCACCTGAAAGCAACAGCAGCGTCACGTCACCCCTAAGTGGACAAACCAAATACCATGAAAGCATTATCATGATTTCTGGTGTTGGATTATTTTGGCTCTTTCAGATGCTCAGTCTCTAGATCATACCTGTGTTTTGTGTGTGTGTGTGTGTGTGTGTGTGTGTGTGTGTGTGTGTGTTTTAAGAGATCAAGGCAGTCACAGCTGTCTCTAATGTGAAGGGTGACTTGTACCTCACTTTGTTCCTGGCCCAGTACTATGTCTTCTATCACCTGTGATTTATGTTTGCTTTATCTGTTCTTTAACTTGCAAGGTGGAGTCCTTAAGCAATTTTTTTAAAAAATTAAACAAAGCTTTGCTAAGGCACAATTCTTTTCAGTAAGGAGAAAATATAAAGGAATTCTTCTGAATGACATAATAAGTAAAGACACACAGAATGTATCTGGAAATGGTAGTATAATTTACTTTTTCATGGATAATGCCTTTAGGGAAATAGTAAGACTTGGGAATTGCTGTAAGATTTGTGTGGTCCTCAGTCTTTCATTAGTGAAAATTTGAAGTTTCCATTTAAGCAACCTGAAAAAATAAATTGTAGGACATTTTCTTTGGGATAATCTTTAATGGAAGACTATACTTTAGATACTGAAATTTTAAAAAATGTTATTATAGAAAAATTTACCCACCAAAGTAGAGAGAATAGTATAACAACACTGAGTTTCCATGTTCTCATCATTCAGTTCCAATAGTTAATAACATTTTGCCAATTTAATCTATATCCTACCACTTTCTCCCTTCTTCCCTTTCCAGCTGGGATATTTCCACGTAAATCCCAGATAGCATGTCAGTTTATCCAGGACAAATTGGTATGAGATCTACAAACTTTAAAAATCTGAATCTTAAAAGTAACATACTTAAGCCGGGCGCGGTGGCTCATGCCTGTAATGTCAGCACTTTGGGAGTCCGAGGCGGGCGGATCATGAGGTCAGGAGATTGAGGCCAACATGGTGAAACCGCGTTTCTACTAAAAATACAAAAATTAGCCGGGCGTGGTGGCACGTGCCTGTAATCCCAGCTACTCGGGAAGCTGAGGCAGGAGAATGGCTTGAACCTGGGAGGCAGAGGTTGCAGTGAGCCAAGATCACGCCACTGCACTCCAGCCTGGTGACAGAGTGAGACTCCGTCTCAAAAAAAAAAAAAAAAAAAGTAACATATTTAGAGTTTCAATAATCATTGAAAAAGTCTTTAAAATGGTATCTTTTATGACGTCTCTACCTATAATTTTCAGACTTAAAAGTGAAATGGAAATACAAATTATTTGCTTTCCTTCTGGTGCATAAAACATAACAAAGCATAGTAGAAGTTGTTTCCTGGTGTTACAGTTCTCTAAAGATCTTCTCAGTTATTCTGAAAGTTAAGCATGACCAACATCAAGAATGTAGTGAGGAAAGTAATAGTTTTTCTTCCTTTGTACTCTTTTCTCATTCTTAAATCCCTGTTCATACTTCGTTGAGTCCCAGGGATGAGTAGGTTATAGGCTACTCACTCTAGATCAGAGATTCTCACCTTGGCTGTATAGTGGCATTTCTTGGGAACTTTAATTCTGATGTTTAGGTCTCAACCCCACAGATGATGATTCAGTTGGTCTAGGGTATAGCCGAGGCATGAGAATTTTTAGAAATCTTCCCAGCTGACTGTGGTACGCAGCCAGAGTCGAGAAGCAGTGCTCTAGATCCTTGCTGTTCAAAGTGTGGCCTAGGACCAGCAGCAGCAGCATCCAGGTGCTTTTTAGCCGCGAAGACTCTCAGGCCTCACCTCAGACCTACTGAATCAGAATCTGTGTCAAATCTCCAAGTGGTTCATATGGTTAGTAAAGCTTCAGAAGCATTGGTCTAGCTCAGTTCTCAACCAGGAGTGATTTTGGCACTCAGGGGGCATTTGGCAGTGACTAGAGACATTTTTGGTTGTCGTAACTGGGGTTTGTGTATGTGTACTAATGCCATCTAGCGGGTGGAGGCCAGGGATGCTGCCAAACATCCTTCAATGCACAGAAGAGCCCCTCACAACAAACAGTTATCCAGGTCAGATGTCAATAGTGCCAAGGTTGAGAAACCCTTGTCTGGGTAGCTCAGAGAATTCATACTGGCTCTACATACTTTCCAATTTGAAGAGCCTCAGGAAAACCAGGTTTGAGACTAGCCAGGGTCTGTTATGTTTTTCTGTGACATCCTGAGAGCTCTGCCTTCACTTTTGGGGCTGATTAGACAGGACAGAGAGAGATTAGTTCTGTGTGATCCATATGCTGGTATGGTGCTGCTGATCTTTGTGCAGAGAGAGAGAGAAACAATATTACTCTCAAACATTCAACTTATAAGAACTCCCACTTTTATATTATATACAGGAGCACTCTGAAACTGCTTTCTCTATGCAGCGGTGAGCCTCCTATGTCTCATGATTTTGAGTGATCTCATTGTATTCCTTTTGAGATTCCCAACAGTGCTTTCCTTACTGTCTTCCTGTTCCTCCAGCCCTGAGTGGCTCTGGATTGTGGCAGCAGCCAGTCCTCTGCTAGGGGACCTTCACTAAGGGTCACATGTGTGTTCGAGAACCTATTCAGTCCAGGACAGATCCATTTTCCCCACCCCTGTGATGTAAACACCCATGTGTGTAAAGACTGAAGGCCTCAGGAGGAGGGTCAGAGGAAGGGTAGGGGCCACTCCTCCGTGTCTGTGCCCCTCTGCACTAGTAGCTGCCTCTCCTCAACCCAGGTGCCAGGACACCTCTTTAACATTTAACTGGGGATTTAAGAATGTTTTTAGTTTTCTAGAAATGGAACTTTCTCACAGGTAACCCTATCACTTTACTTTCAGACATTTGACTTTCAAAAGAGGGAATTGCCTAAAAGATAAGGGAAACCTTTGTCTTAGACTTGTGGATTGACATCACCTGAAAGCATAACTAATGTGTTGATTTATCTGTTATTGAACACAGAACTCTCCTGTGCATCTTATAATGAGAAGTATACAGTGACACTGGCCAGAAAGTTATGAAAAAGATGCTTTTTTTGCCTAGGGAAAAGGAGGGTTTAGAGGATGGTTGTAGAAATCCTAGGCATGTTTAGGAAACTCCATCTAAAACTCTTAGCACTATCCAGGAATTGTTTACAATGCCTGGGTTATGCCATGCCATCATTGATAAGAAAGTGGCAACTTGTTTCTTAGCCATTGTCTCTAGTCAGTTTATGACATCTCTTTCAAAAAGGTGGCTATCGTACATGGGGCTATCATAGATGTGGGGTGGGAAAAAGTCTTTAATGTAGTTTTTGGAAAGTGGAGAGTGATTATAAGTATATATTTTCCACCCCACCATAGTTTCCCAGCCACCTTCTCCATGAAGCCTCTTCTTTTCTTTTCTTTCTTTCTTTCTTTTTTTTTTTTTGAGATGGAGTCTCCCTCTGTCGCCAGGCTGCAGTGCAGCGGCAGAATCTCTGCTCCCTGCAACCTCCGCCTCCCGAGTTCAAGCAATTCTCCTGCCTCAGCCTCCCATATAGCTGGGATTACAGGCGCCTGCCACCACACCCAGCTAATTTTTGTATTTTTTGTAGAGACAGGGTTTTACCATGTTGGCTGGGCTGGTCTCGATCTCCTAACTTCAAGTGACCCACCCGCCTCAGCCTCCCAAAGTGCTAGGATTAAAACATGTATGAGCCACTGTGCCCGGCCATGAAGCCTTACTGTCCTTTCTTTGCCTCACCCTGTTTGGATTAAAGGCAACATTTCATAATTTATGACACTATTTTATGCTTCCCCTACTAGATTGATTGGGCCATTTATGCAAATTTCAAAGCATATACTATGATCGTGGCCATCTAAGTTATTAACTAATAAAATTCATTACTAAAAACAGAGTTGGTAGTTGACTTTTGAGTCATGTACTTTGTGAGGGGGCTACATAGCATGAAAGACTATTCCGTACTGTTAAAAGTTAACACTTTTGTAGGGCAGATAGCCCCATAGTTTTCTCAGTACATTATTTAGAAACTTTCATTAAACATAGTGGATTGAACAGCTAAGTTTACGTCGAACACTTCCTAAAACCTTAACAAAAAGGGATAAAAAGGCAAAATATTTACAAGCAGAATAAAAGGGGAGACAAAGGGATGTCATTAGAAGTTTGGAAGATATAGGTTAGTGGTATAAGTGGTAGTTGTCAGAGCATTTTGGAGAAAGCTGAAAGCTAAGTGCTTGCAGTGAGAAAGGCATCAAGCAAACTGATGAGAGCTCCAGAAAGGCTCAGGAATCAGAGGTACCAGGAGCCTCTGAAGTCAGGGAAGTGAAGAGGAAAAACAGGAAGATGGGTTAGAACCCTAGATTCCTTTCTCTACCTGTGCTGCATAACAGCCTCCTCTTCCGCATCCTGGCAGAAGACTGGAGGTCACAAGGCATTCTTGTACCAAATACAGCTCAGATGCGGATGATGAACAATTCTGAAATGGATGCGCAAAGTCTTCATATTGAACAGTGCACCACCATCTCAAATTCCCTTCCCTATTCAACTTTGAGAACGCTGAAACCAGGATTTGTATCCTATTTGCAGTGATGGTGGGGAAAATATTGGAAGATTTATCTCCAGGGAAAAGCTAAGATAAATATCCTACTATATTAGTGGTTGGGAGTTCAAGTTCCTGTCCGTTCATCTTAGAGAGGAGCCTTCAAGGTATTGAGCAGCCCCATCATACACATAGAACCTCTCATCAGCTGTGTAACGTAATTCTTCACTTTTAAGTAGAAACAGACAACCAAAAATCACTAGAAATTTGAGGAAAACTTCTAACATGAAAGTCGGAGATCAAAACAAATGGAGTAAGGTGGGGAGAGGAAAGAAGAAAAAGTAGATACTGAGAAAAAAAAACCCCAGATATGCAGGGAGCGGGAGAAAATGGCTAAAAACTGCTAATTAATATTCTCAGATAAGAGAAGTGATTTTCATTCTTGACATAGGAATAAGATGAATAAAAATGAACATTCCAAGAGATAGCTCTTGAAAATCTAAAATGTGACCACAGAAATTAAAAGCTCAGTAAAAGTGTTTGAAAATGAAATTCATTTGAAATCTTTTAAAAGTAGAACCTGGTGGGCTAGGTGCGGCGGCTCACACCTGTAATCCCAGCACTTTGGGAGGCCAGCGCGGGCAGATCATGAGGTCAGGAGATCGAGACCATCCTGGCTAGCACGGTGAAACCCTGTCTCTACTAAAAATACAAAAAAAATAGCCGGGTGTGGTGGCGGGCGCCTGTAGTCCCAGCTACTCGGGAGTCTGAGGCAGGAGAAGGGCGTGAACCTGGGAGGCAGAGCTTGCAGTGACCCAAGATCGCGCCACTGCACTCCAGCCTGGGCGACAGAGCAAAGTAGAACAGCTAGGCACGGTGGCTTACGCCTGTAAACCCAGCACTTTGGGAGGCTGAGGCGGCAGGTGGATCATTTGAGACCAGGAGTTCGAGACCAGCCTGGACAACATGGTGAAACCTCATCTCTACTAAAAATACAAAAATTAGCCAGGCGTGGTGGCATGTGCCTGTAATCCCGGGTACTCGGGACCCTGAGGCGAGAGGATTGCTTGAACCCAGGAGGCAGAGGTTGTAGTGAGCCGTGATTGCACCATTGCACTCCAGCCTGGGCGATAGAGCGAGACTCTATCTCAAAAAAAGGGAAAATAATGCAAGAAGAAATATTCCAGGCCGGGCACTATGGCTCACGCCTGTAATTCTAAAACTGAGAGGCCAAGATGGGAGGATTGGTTGAGGCCAGGAGTTCAAGATCAGCCTGGGCAACATAGTGAGATCCTATCTCTATTTAATTTAATTTAATTAAATTAATTAATTTATTTATTTTTGAGACAGAATCTCGCTCTGTCGCCCAGGCTGGAGTGCAGTGGCACGATCTCTGCTCACTGCAAGCTCTGTCTCCCAGATTCACGTCATTCTCCTGCCTCAGCTTCCTGAGTAGCTGGGACTACAGGCGCCCACTACCACGCCCGGCTAATTTTTTGTATTTTTAGTAGAGATGGGTTTTCACCATGTTAGCCAGGATGGTCTCGATCTCCTGACCTCGTGATCCACCCGCCTCGGCCTCCCAAAGTGCTGGGATTACAGGGGTGAGCCACCGCACCCGGCCTCTATTTTATTAAAAATTAAAAAAAAAATTTAAGATTAAAAACAAAAAAGAGAAATATTCCAGAACTGAAGAATATGAGTTTTCAAGAATGAAGAGGCCTAACCTGGGATGAAACAGTAGATGAAAACAGATTCACACCAAGGCCTGTTCTAGTGGAATTTCATAATAAGATTCAGGAAGTTTTCAAAGATAAAAATGAAAGTTCATACAAAAAGGCTGGAGAATCAAAACCTAAATGACTATAGGTTTTTCAGTAGCTGTACTAGAATCAAGAAGAGTATACTACCATCAAAACTGCGAAGATTATTATCAACCCAGAATTCTCTGCTTAACCAAATCAGAATCAATTGTGAAGATAGAATGTAGTCACTTATCAGACATGCAAGATCTCAAAAAATTTACTTCCCATGCATGCGCCCTCAGGAAGTCACTGGAGGATGTGTTCCACAAAAATGAGAGATTAAACCAAGAAAGAAGAATACTTAGGATCTAGGAAACTGGGGCTACATTGTAAGATAGAGGTGAAAGGAATCCCTAGACTGACAATTGAGTAGCTGGCTGAGAAGCCGGTCCAGAGTGGAGCAGAGGATGCAGACATCAGGTGGAATCTCTCTAAGTGGGGAAGCAGTTAGCAGATGTGTGTGAACATGTTGAGAGGAGGTAAAGTGTTGGAAAGGGTGGAGTTCAATTTGTAAGGAATAACTGACTTTTATTTTTATCTTCAGGAAAAACAAAGGTATAAAAAAATGGAAATGCAAGAATAGCACCCTGTGTGGTTTAGCTGCAGAGCTGATATTCGGCCAGCATGACCACATTGGTTGTTAAAATATTAGTGTATTTATATACTGACTGGTAAATAACCACTATCTTCAGTGCCCTCCATGTTGCCCTGTTACTTCCCTGGACACTACTCCCTCCCCTCTTCTCACAATTAAAAGATTAATAATTGGAAAGGCAGGCGTCTCCCAGGACCCTACTGACCTCTTGGCCTCTATTTTGATGGTTGATGTCAGGGTAACAATTAACTATTTTGAACATTATCCCTACTTAGTTGTGAATGCTATTTACATAATCATAATAATGCAAATATTAACTTAGCTAAACATTGTGATAAAATTATAGTAGGAGGATACAGGGAGGAGATGTGTGGGAAAGGGAGGGAGTTGCAGTAGAGTTAAATTCATATTTCTCATACTAGGAAATTTATACATATTATCTGAAGCTGAAAAAAATTTTAAGCTATGTAAGCATTTAGTTTGGAAATACAGAATTAATAGCAGAAGAAATAGCTAAAAGTGTTTGAAAGTTGTTCCTTAGGGGGAGTGGAAATTGTATGTGTGTGGAGGTGTGGTGCACTGGTTGCTGTTTTTCATCATATGCTGTGTAAACCTATTGGCTTTTAAAGTTCTGAATGTTACACTGAAGAAAAAAATTAATTAAAGATAGAACATCATTTCCACAAACAAGTAATCTTCTAACCAACTTGATTTTCTTTTCCTTTAGTGGCAGTATGATCACCTCACGGCTACCTATCTTCTGCTTCTAGCCAAGAAGGCTCGGGGAAAACCAGTTCGTTTAAGGCTTTCTTCTTTCTCCTGTGGACAAGCCAGTGCTACCCCATTCACAGACATCAAGGTAAGTGTTACTGCCTGTTGTGTCTTGCCACGTGCCCTCCCTGTTCCTGAGTGTGTATACCACTGGGAAGGTAAACTTTCCGGTGTCAAGGAGTCAGAGGCAAGATGTTTTATGATTTCAATATTTTTGATGAGAAAAATGGGAAGTTCTGAAGTTGAACTCTAATTTTTTTTTTTTTTTTTTTTTTGAGATAGAGTCTCACTCTGTCATCTAGGCTGGAGTGCAGTGGCATGACCTCAGCTCACTGCAACCTCTGCCTCCGGGATTCAAGCGATTCTTGTGCCTCAGCCTCCCGAGTAGCTGGAATTGCAGGTGTGCATCACCACGCCTGGCCAATTTTTGTATCTTTAGTAGAGACGGGGTTTTGCCATGTTGGCCAGGCTGGTCTCAAACTCCTGACCTCAAGTGATCAGCCTGCCTCGGCCTCCCAAAGTGCTGGGATTATAGGCATGAGCCACCGTGCCCGGCCTCTAAAATTCTGAATGTTAACATGGCATTTTACAAACCTCCTCCCCTGACTCCTTTTTTTTCATAATAGCAATTCCTGATGGCTATAGAAAATGTTTAAGCCAGGCCGGGTGTGGTGGCTCACACCTGTAATCCCAGCACTTTGGGAGGCCAAGGCAGGTGGATCACAAGGTCAGGAGTTTGACACCAGCCTGGCCAATATGGTGAAACCCCGTCTGTACTAAAAATACAAAAATTAGCCAGGCGTGGTGATGAGTGCCTGTAGTCCCAGCTACTTGGGAGGATGAGGCAGGAGAATCGCTTGAACCCGAGAGGCGGAGGTTACAGTGAGCTGAGATTGCGCCATTGCACTCCAGCCTGGGCGACAGAGCAAGACTCTGTCTCAAAAAAAAAAAAAAAAAAAAGAAAATGCTTAAGCCACAGATGAGCTAAAAGGAAAATAGAATTTACCTATAAACCAACTACCTGTGGAGGATGTAGTTAATATTTATTGTGTCTTTCCAGTCTTTTTTTTAAAGCATACTTTTACACGCATTCAAGTACTTTTAAAGGACACATTATTGAATTGCAGAGAACAAAAAAATTGTTGGGAGTAAGATCTGTGATATGGAATATATAATACTTTATATGACATGAAACATTTTGATAAATATTTTCATATTTATGTTAAGGGTTTAGGTTTTTGTTTCTTTTAAAATTTTCATACTGAAATGGAGCATGTTGATTAGTGTTTGTTATAACCAAATTATTTTTCTCTACTTCACTGTCTTTGTCTCAGTTTTGTCATGGACTTTAAAAAATTTTTTTGTTTTATTTTTTGAAACAAAGTCTTGCTTTGTTGTCCTGGCTGGAGTACAGTGGTGTGATCATGGCTCACTGCAGCCTTAACCTTCCAGGCTCAAGCAATCCTCCTGCCTCAGCCTCCCTAGTAGCTGGGATTACAGGTGTGTGCCACCACACCTGGCTAATTTTTAATTTTCTATAGAAATGGAGTCCAGCTATGTTGCCCAGGCTGGTCTTGAACACCTGGGCTCAAGCAGTCCTCCCTCCTTTGCCTCCCAAAGTGCTGGGATTATTGGCATGAGTGACTGCACCTGGCCTGTCATGGACATTTAAAATGGTGAAGAAGCTTACATACATAGAGGCACCATGTCATTCCTAAATGCTTGTGTTAGTCCTTGTTTTGTGTGATTCTTTGTATTTCCCATGGCTTAAAATTCAGCTATCCAAATACTTTGCCAGATGGGTATGGAACTTTGTAATGTCATCTTCCCTCAGATTAATTCAGGTTGCAATGTAAATAATCTTAGCACTAGGAAATTGTACCTCATCCTCAGAGAAAGGTAGTTGGTTGGCCCTGTTTATGAAATCCAAGATAACACAATTGACTGTGTGGATGAAAGTTTGGTTTTTTTCCCCTTTATAGGCCTCAAAACTGTAAAAAAAAAACAAAAAATGTTAAAATGCCACCTCTTTTATGATCTTTTGTTGAATTCCCCCTCCCTCAAATTCCTTTAATATCTATCTCATTTAGATCTCCTTTTGGTACTCATCAGTCATGTGCTACAGGTATAGTGGGTCTTATGTCACTGCCAGAACTAACCTGCCCCTCTTTTTCCCTCCCTAGTTGGTCAGTGCACTGGCTGTTGTGTAAAGAAATCTCTGAAGGGAGATATCCTGCATGGTTTTCTAGTCTGTTGTTGGAGAGTTTTAATGGCTGGTAAATATTCTGTGCCTAGGCAGCTCTTTTGCACATGGGCTCCTTGAATCAGCCAATCCCTCATCCCACCCACACTGCCAAACCCTTTAAACTTTCAGGTGCAAGTAACACATCTGGGTCCAGGAAAATGCAAAACCCTGAATTTTGCATCTGCTCAAGGTAATTGGAGAAAGCTATTAGATACGTATACCTCTATGCTTAGAAAAATCACTTTCACTAAATTTTAAAATTTACGACACCTCAGTTAAGGGGCCTGAGACATTTTCCTGAGACATTGGATTGTCTTTTTTTTTTTTTTTTTTTTTTTTGAGACAGAGTCTTGCTTTGTTGCCCAGGCTGGAGTGCAGTAGTGTGGTCTTGGCTCGCTGCAACCTCCGCCTCCTGGGTTCAAGTGATTCTCCTGCCTCATTGTCCCGAGTAGCTGGGATTACAGGTGTGTGCCACCACACCTATCTAATTTTTGTATTTTTAGTAGAGATGGGATTTCACCATGTTGGTCAGGCTGGTCTCGAACTCCAGACCTCAGATGATCCACCTGCCTCAGCCTCCCAAAGTGCTGGGAACACAAGCGTGAACCACCACACCCGGCCTGGATTTTCTTATATCTGAATTGGCCTGGTCTCAATTGATCTGCTTATATGAGTTGTAAGTGGAAAAGACCTGGAAATATATTTACTCTTATCTTCCATCTACTCCCTAATGAACATTTAACTAATAATTTAATTATTTGCAAAGTCATATTATTGAATCAATTTTATGGCAGATCAAGAGACATTTTAGTAACAAGAAGTGAAATAGAAATCAAATTTTGGGTTCGCTTCTAATCTTTATGCAAATTATTGAGACACGAAGCAAGTCACATAGTCTGGTTGTACTGTTCTTCCCCTTGATAGAATTATCCCTTTTCTCTGGGGTGTTGTTTATAAGAAAGTAAGTAATCATGATCGATCAATCAATCAATAGGTGGCCCTTTCAGTGAAACAGCAGTACAGACTGATCCAAGAATCACAAATAACCACGTCATCATCATCAGTGTCATTAGCATTTTCAGGCCCCATGCTGGGCTGCTGGGAAACATATCTGTGTAAAGTATAATACTTGTTCTCTAAGAGTCAAGACATATATATACATAGATAATACTGCATCATAGTAGATGATGGGGGCCAGAGAAGTGGCCAGAGGTGTCCTGGGGAGCTTTAGAGGACAGGAATGATCACCATGGGATCCAAACTGGACCAACAGTCAAGGTTAGAAAGATGGAAAAGAAGTGGCACAACATTCAGGGCAAGATAAATGGAATCAGCAAAAGCAGGGGCACCTAATTTTGCTTGATGTATTCTGTTGACAGTGGCTGGACTTGTGTTAAAAAAGAAGAGTTCAAGTAGGGGGAGAGAGAGAGAGAGAGAGAGAGAGAACGCAAGTGAGCTGGAAGGGTGGACAAGAGCCAGATAGTAGAGAACCTGAAAATGCACATCAGAATTTTAGACTTTGTTCAATAGTTAATGAGGAGCCATTGATTTGTGAGCAAGAGAGAGAGAAATGAACATGATTTTGAAAAATTAATCCAGTGGTGTATACGATTGTTTAGTCAGGGGTGATATGTGTGCTATTAGTCCCTACTGGAGTACCCATGACAGCCGTCATTCGTACAGCACTGTACTTCTCCCCACCAAGCCTAGACTTAGCTTTAGGATTTTTCTCAGCCTAGCTCTCCATGCATCCAGTTCCAAATGACAGTAATTGGTAATCCTGGAGAACTCTGTCATCCTTGGTTGAGACAGTGGAAAGATTAGTGGTAGAGACAATATTGTCTGTTTGAATAGTCTAGGTATGAGAAGATTTGTCCTTGATCTAGGATAGTGGCAGTGAGACTTTGGGAAAAAAAGGATGAGATATAAGAAATTCAAGTAAAATTGCTTGGCTAGATTAACAATATATCGAGGGAAAAGGAAGGAAGGAGAAATAAAAACTCCAAGTACACCCACAGTCTTGAATTCAGGGTATAATTAGTATACCCTTAGTTTATAGAGGAGGAAGAATGAAAGAACAGAAGTTATTTTGGTGGCGTTGTTAGCGCAAGACCCCAAATGTCCTATCCCTAGGAGATCCTTCATAAGGCTAATTTTCTTCCTGGTAGAAATTATTCACTACCCTGTATATTCTTACAAAGAAGAAACCTATATTTCGAAGTTGTTTCCCCTCCATCTTCTACTTTGTCAGATCTTTTTATTTGTAAATTTGCAGTAGAGTTGTCTGGTATTATAGTGATTATGTGATAATGAAAAGTAGTATGCTATATAACATAAGAATGTTGCAAGACATATTATTTGAGAGTCGGAGGTTTTCCTTTCTGATAATTTGAACTGAAATTTTCTGACTTCCTTTTTCTGTACTGGATGGTCAGCTCCTTCAATATAGTGTCTCCTATTCATTTTTGTTTCCAGGGCCTTGCCCTATGCCTGGAATACAGTTTTGTGCTGCATAAAGACAACGTTGGACTGCATTTATGATGGTGGTCCCATAAAATTATAATACCATGTTTTTACTCTACCTTTTCTTTTTTTTTCTTTCTTTTTTTTTTAGACAGAGTCTCGCTGTATTACCCAGGCTGGAGTGCAGTGGCACAATTTCTGCTTGTTGTAACCTCCACCTGGTGGACTCAAGTGATCCTCCCACCTAAGCCTCCCAAGTACCTGGGCCTACAGGCACATGCCTGGCTAATTTCTATTTTTTGTAGAGATGGGGTTTCACCGTGTTGCCCAGACTGGCTCCAACGCCTGAGCTTAAGTGATCCACCTGTGTCAGCCTTCCAAAGTGCTGGGATTACAGGCATGAGCCACCATGGGGACGGCCTTTTTCTGTTTAGATTTGTTTAGATACATAAATACTTATTGTTGTGTTAGAGCCACCTACTGTATTCAGTACAGTAACGTGCTACACAGGTTTGTAGTGTAGGAGCAACAGGCTATAACGTACAGCCTAGGTGTGGCCTAGGTGTGTAGTAGGCTCTGACGTCTCAGTTTGTGTAAGTACATTTTATGATGTTCACACAGTGATAAAATTGCCTAATACATTTCTCAGAATGTGTCTCTGTCGTTAAGTGACGCGTGACTGTATTTTAAATATTGAATCATAGTACTGTCATCTTTAAGTTCTTCTGTCTTTCATTGAGTAGTCAAATAATTGGAGTCTGGAAGATGTGACCGCAAGTGATAAAAATTATGTGGCGGGATTAATAGACTATGATTGGTGTGAAGATGATTTATCAACAGGTGCTGCTACTCCCCGAACATCACAGGTTCGTCATTCTTATTACTATTTAAGGCAGAATCTATTGTTTCAATTATAAAAACAACCAGACTAATGTGAAACCAAGGTGTGCTTGCAAATTTAATGAATGCTTAAGCCACTGAAAATGTTTATGAGCGATAACTGGAATACGAATGAAAGGGAAGTCAATTATATCCAAGTTGAAGAAAGCCAAGATTCTATTTTAGAGCTCTTTACTGCTCCTTTATTTCCTGTTTATTATTATTATTTTTTGAGACTGAGTCTTGCTCTGTTGGCCAGGCTGGAGTGCAGTGGCACGATCTCGGCTCACTGCAACCTCTGCCTCCCAGGTTCAAGTGATTCTCATGCCTCCTGAGTAGCTGGGATTACAGGTGCCTGCTGCCTCTCCTGGCTAATTTTTGTATTTTTAGTAGAGACAGGGTTTCACCATGTTGGCAGCTGGTCTCGAACTCCTGACCTCAGGTGATCCACCCACCTCAGCCTTCCAAAGTGCTGGGATTACAGGCGTGAGCCACTGTGCCCGGCCTTCTTTTTTGTTTAAAATGAGGTATAATGAGGTATACTTTACATGTAGTTAAATAGGTAAAGTCACCTTTTTTAGTGTGCAATTCTATGTGTTTTGACAAATGCATACAGTTGTATAACCACCACCAAAATTAAGATATAAAACAGTTCCGTTACTCCTCAAAATTCCCTCATTCCCCTTGTGGCTAACTTCCCCTCCCAACTCTCGGTGGCAATTGATCTGTTTTTCTTTCCTTTTGATAATCTTTTTATTGTGACTTTAAGTTTGTTGAGCTTTTTAGATTAATGAAGATTAAGTATAGATTAATGTTTTTTATCAAATTTGGGAAGTTTTCAATATTTTATTTGCCCCACTCTCTTTATTTTATCTTCTGGTACTCCCCTTCCATGTATATTGGCACACTTGATGGTGCCCTACAGTACACTGAGGCCCTGTTCATTTTTCTTTATCTATTTTCATTCTGTTTCTCAGACTAATTTCAGTTAACCTGTTTCAAAGTTTCAGATTCTTTCTTCTGCTTACTGAAAGTTCTGTTTAATCCCTCTAGTGAATTTTTTGTTATGGTTATTGTACTCTTGAACTCCAGAATTTGTTTTGTTCTTTTAAATAATTTTATCTTTATTTATACTCTCTATTTATTGTGACATTGCTCTTACACTTTCCCTTGGTTCTTCAGATGTTTCCTTTTGTTCTTTGAACATATTTAAAAACTGATTTTCAGTCTTTGCTTGGTAAGGCCTACGTCTGGACTTCTTCAAGGACAATTTCCATTGACTGTTTTTGTTTTTCTCGTGTATATGGGCCATCCTTTTTGTTTGTTTGTTTGTTTTTTGTTTGAGACAGAGGCTCCGCTGTATCGCCCAGGCTGGAGCGCATTGTTGGGATCTCTGCTCACTGCAACCTCTGCCTCCCGGGTTCAAGCAATTCTCCTGCCTCAGCCTCCTGAGTAGCTGGGATTACAGGCACCCGCCATCATGCCTGGCTAATTTTTTTTTTTTCTATTTTTTTTTTTTTTTTGAGACAGAGTCTCGCTCTGTCACCCAGGCTGGACTGCAGTGGCGCTATCTTGGCTCACTGCAAGCTCCGCCTCCTGGGTTCATGCCATTCTCCTGCCTCAGCTTCCCGAATAGCTGGGACTACAGGTGCCCGCCACCACGCCTGGCTAATTTTTTGTATTTTTAGTAGAGATGGGGTTTCACCATGTTAGCTAGGATGGTCTCGATCTCCTGACCTTGTGATCCGCCCGCCTCGGCCTCCCAAAGTGCTGGGATTACAGGCTTGAGCCACTGCACCTGGCCTTTTTTTTGTGTTTTTGTAAAGATGGGGTTTCACCATATTGGCCAGGCTGGTGTTAAACTCCTGACCTCAGGTGATCTGCCTGCCTTAGCCTCCCAAAGTGCTGGGATTACAGGCATGAGCCACCGTGCCCGGCCATACTTTTTTATTTCTTTGCATGTATATGTCTTGTAATTGTTGAAAACTAGACATTTTAAATAATATAATGTGGCAGCTCTGGTAATCAGATTTATCCCCTCCTCAGGATTTGATATTATTGCTGTTTGTTGTTGTTGGTTAGTGACTTTTCTGAACTAATTCTGTAAAGTCGTTAAGTCATTTAGGTCAGTGTTGGGCTGCATTTATGATGGTGGTCCATGAGATTATAATATCATATTTTTACTATACCTTTTCTCTGCTCAATTAGCATAGTGATCAGCTAATGCTTGGCGAGGTTTCCTTAGATGCCTGGAATCAATTCGTCTCTCAGTCTTTGTGCCGGCTCTGTGTACATCTGGGGTATGCCTGCAACTTTCAGCCAGGCAGCTGACAACTCTGCATTAGATTTCATTTCCTATTTGTATAAAACCTCAAGGTCAGCTTGAGGTGAGATCTTAGATCCTTCTAAAGTGTTTTTTGTTTTTTATTTTTATTTTTTTGAGATGGAGTTTTGCTCTTGTTGCCCAGGCTGGAGTGCAATGGCACGATCTCAGTTCACTGCGATTTTCGCCTCCTGGGTTCAAGCAATTCTCCTGCCTCAGCCTCCCATGGAGCTGGGATTACAGGCATGCGCCACCACACCTGGCTAATTTTGTATTTTTAGTAGAGACGAGGTTTCACCATGTTGGTCAGGCTGGTCTCGAACTGCTGACCTCAAGTGATCCACCTGCCTCAGCCTCCCAAAGTGCTGGGATTACAGGCGTGAGCCACCATGCCCAGCCCCTTCTAAAGTCTTTCCTGAGCAAATGCACAGCCCTGGGTATGAGCACATCCTATACATGTACATTGGGCTTGTAGATACCCTGGTATATTTTGGAGCTTTTCCAATTCACTGTGGACATCTTATTCTCTAACTTTTTTTTCAGCATTTTTGTTAGTTTATTGTGGTCACCAGCTATTACTTACTGCTTCGGCAGCCACAATGTGCAACAATTGCCTGTAAATTTTTTTTTGTTTTTGAGATAGGATCTCATTCCGTCAACCAGGCTGGAGTCCAGTGGTGTGATCATGGCTCACTGCAGCCTCGACCTCCTGGGCTTAAGCAATTTTCTTGCCTCAGCCTCCCGAGTATCGGGGACTATAGGCATGCACCACCATGCCCAGCTAATTTTTACAAAATTATTTTGTAGAGACAGGGTCTCAATATTTTGCCCAGGCTGGTCTCAAACTCCTGGACTCAAGAGATCCACCCGCGTTGGCCTCCCAAAGTGCTGGGATTACAGGCGTGAGCCACTGCGCCTGGCACCTCTAAATCTTTTTAACAGATGCTGCTGGGGAAAAGGCTGTTCATACTGGGCAGGCTCTGAGTAAGGTCAAATAAAGACAGCTTTCAGGCTGGGTGCAGTGGCTCACGCCTGTAATCCCAGCACTTTGGGGGGCTGAGGCGGGTGGATCACCTGAGGTCGGGAGTTCAAGACCTACCTGACCAACATGGAGAAACCCCGTCTCTACTAAAAATACAAAATTAGCTGCCTGTGGTGGCACATGCCTGTAATCCCAGCTACTCGGAAGGCTGAGGCAGGAGAATTGCTTGAACCCGGGAGGTGGAGTTTGCAGTGAGCTGAGTTCACGCCATTACACTCCAGCCTGGGCAACAAGAGCAAAACTCCGTCTCAAATAAAAAACAAACAAAGAATAAAAAAAGACAGCTTTCATAGTAGGGTCTTCTAGGGAACTACTGGCCAGGCTAAATAATGACAGTTTTCTGAGCATGAAGCTTTGAAGGAGCTCCAACCTGTTCTGCCCCCTCCAGCGGCTCCTAGGTTGCTGGTCTTCATCGTGATTGTGGGCTGTGGGTTTCTAAGACTATCATAGAGCTGGAGAGAGAAGAATGGGGATAGGTAGGGCAAATTCAAACACCTCAAACTCACTGTTTCTACTTAGCTGTTTTCTATGAATAAATGCTGCGATCTTTGGCTAATACACAGAGTTCTGAAACAAAAGAGGTATACTTTGTTTATGGATAGGGAGATTTGAAGGTATAGATTTCAGTTTTTCCCAAAATGAATTTTAAATTTAATGTAATCTCAACTTTTCAGTGGATGTAAAATAAGTCAAAATGATTCTAAAATGTATGTGGAAATACAAAGGGGCAAGAATAACTAAATCATTCCTAAAGAATAAGAAGATGGGAGGAAACTGGTCAACCTGATAAAAGAACTATTATAAAATTAAAGAAAGTAAGATTTCCTTAATAAATAAAACAATGAAACAAATAAAACAATGAAACCTTTCATACCTTATATTTAGGTATGTCTCTTTAAAAATAACATAGCTAGGCCGGGCGCGGTGGCTCACGCCTGTAATCCCAGCACTTTGGGAGGCCAAGGTGGGTGGATCATGAGGTCAGGAGATTGAGACCATCCTGGCTAACACAATGAAACTCCATCTCTACTAAAAAATACAAAAAATTAGCTGGGCATGGTGGCGGGCACCTCTAGTCCCAGTTACTTGGGAGGCTGAGGCAGGAGAATGGCATGAACCCGGGAGGCGGAGCTTGCAGTGAGCCGAGATTGCACCACTGCACTCCAGCCTAGGTGACAGAGCGAGACTCCGTCTCAAAAAAAAAAAAAAAAAAAACAAAACAAACAAAGAAAAAAACATAGCTAGATTTGGTATGCAAACTGAAAATCTTGTCTTTTGAATTGAGCGCTTACCCAACTTATTTTTATTATGGATTTAGTTATTATATATCTTTCTTTTTTTATGTTTCCTATGTGTCTTTTTCTGTATTTCCCCCTTATTTCTTGATTTTTTATGTTAATTTCCCCCCACATTTTATTGGTTTCTATTTGATTTCTATTCTTTTAATATTTACTCTAAATTTTTAACATTTAATTTAACGAAATATAAAGTGAATCTGTATCTTTTTTTTTTTTTTTTTAAGATGGAATCTTGCTCTGTTGCCCAGGCTTGAGTGCAATGGCGTGATCTCAGGCTCACTGCAACCTCTTCCTCCTGGGTTCAAGTGATTCTCCTGCCTCAGCCTCCCAAGTAGCCGGGTTTACAGGCACCCGCCACCATGTCTGGCTAATTTTTGTATTTTTAGTAGAGACAGGGTTTCACCATGTTGGCCAGGCTGGTCTCGAACTCCTGACCTCAGGTGATCCACCTGCCTCGGCCTCCCAAAGTGCTAGAATTACAGGCGTGAGCCCCTGCACCCTGCTGTGAATCTGTATGTTTAATTTCCTTCTAAACAATATGAAGGCCTTAGAACACTTAATCTCTGATTACCCCTCCTGGATTCCATGCTATTGATGTGTCCAGTGTATTAGCTCTTGAATGTTTTTAACTTTTTATTTTGAAATATTTATGGATTCACAGGATGTTATTGAAGATATTATTCCACTTTCTTCTTGCTTCTATTGTTGCTATTGAAAAACCAACCTCAGTCTAGTGCCTTTTTAGTCTGTCTTTTCTCTCTGGCTCCTTTTAGGACCTTCTCTTTGCTTTTGGTGTTCTGCAGTTTCACTGTTAGGGCTACTGCGTTGCACACCTCCAGGGAACACACCATCTGTGTGGTGTCTCTGTGGATAGTGTCCTCTGGAGTTGTATAATCTGGTAAATAGAGATGTGGATTTCTTTTATGTATCCAGTTCATGATTCATCATGCTTTCTATGTATGGGGATTTGTATTTTTAATCAATTTTTGAAAATTTCTTGAATAATATACTGCTTTTTCTTTTTCTCCTTTTCCTTGTTTCTTTTTTTTTTTCTTTTTGAGACAGAGTTTCTCTCTTCTTGCCCAGGCTGGAGTGCAATGGCACGATCTCAGCTTACTGCAACCTCTGCTTCCCAGGTTCAAGCGATTTTCCTACCTCAGCCTCCCGAGTAGCTGGGATTACAGGTGCCTGTCCCCATGCCCAGCTAATTTTTGTATTATTAGTAGAGACAGAGTTTCACCATGTTGGCCAGGCTGGTCTTGTACTCCTGACCTCAGGTGATCACATGACTTGGCCTCCCAAAGTGCTGGGATTACAGGTGTGAGCCAGCGCACCCAGCCTGCTTTTCTTTAAAACAATATTTATATAAATTTATAGAGTACAAGTACAATTTTCTTAGATGCATAGTGGTCAAGTGAGAGGTTTTAAGGTGTCAGCTGAATAATGTACATCGCACCCCTTAAGTAATTTCTCATCACCAACCCCCTTCCATCTCCTCACCCTTCCAAGTCTACATTTTCTATCATTCCACTCTCTACATCCACGTGTACACCCTTTTTTAGCACCCACTTATGAGTGAGAACATGCAATATTTGTCATTCTGTGTCTGGCTTGTTTCACTTAAGGTAACCTCCACTTCCATCCACCTTGTTGCAAAAGATAGGATTTCATTCTTTTTTATGGTTGAATAGTATTCTATCTGTGTGTCTGTCTGTCTATCTATCTCACATTTCCTTTATGCAGTCATCTGTTGATGGACACTTGGGTTGATTTTGTATCTTTGCTATTGTGAATAAGTACTGAGATAAATATACAAGTGCAGGTATGTTTTTGATGTATTGATTTCTTTTCCTTTGGGAAAAGAAGTAGAGGGAATTGCTGCTTTTGCATTGTCCATACTATGTATATCTGGAACTTAGAATAGCCTTATGTTAGACATTTTATTTCATTTTCTGTTTCCTTCAACCATCTTTCACGTATCGTATGTCTTTTTCTGTCTTGGCTACATTCAGAGTTATTTCGGATTTATATTTCTATTAAAATATCTCTATTTCTTTTATTCTGTTATTTGACATGTGCATTGCACTTTTCATTTTTATCATGTTTTTATTTCTAGAAGTTTTTATTCTTTTTCAAATCTATTTGAACAGTTTTGGTAGTCTTTTGTTCTTTACTCATGTTTTTGTTTCACTATTTTAAACATGCAAACATACTTATTTATGTTCTGTATTTGATAATTTTAATATCTGAAATCTTTATGCTCATAGTGCTTGTGTCTTTTGGAATTTTTTATGTAGGTTTATTTTTCTTTGAACTCTATGGGAATTATCTGAGGCTTGGGTTAAGGGCTTGAGTTGGGTTGGAGTGAAGCTTTTCTTTCAGGTAGGAGTTGTGCGTGCTTCTACCAGGTTCCTGGGGCACAACTTAGCATAGGACTACTTTAAGTTAAATTTAGGCTTGAGGTTTCTGGGACCATGCAGGTTGTATTAATTTGGACCTTTATTTATCTGAAGACTGGCCTGTGTTTACTTACAAATTATTAAAAGAAACTTCATTTTTCTCCTCCCTCAGAACCAAGACCAAGACACCCTTTTTCTTGCCTATTCCCTTTGAAGAGCAGATTTATATTTAACTCAGCCTTTAATTTTAGCTATAGCCCTTCCTGGCTTTACATGGGAGCTTTGGTTCTAACTCACCACCTTGCAGAGGCCCAAGGCTTCTGTGGCTGTAGAAACACATGCTATAGGTTATCAGAGGCAGAAGATAGCTGCCCTTAGGGCAGCAGAGAGTTTCAGCCTTGGTTACTCCTTTGGATTCATTCTCATGTTTTTAGTTTGGCCTCTCAGGATTTTACTTACTCTCTTGCAAGCTCAACCATAAATTTAAAAGGATTAAAAAGTATTTTTTATCCAATATTTCTGTTAGAGTAGTTTAACATGTTTTTTCTGCCCTAATTGCTGACTAAACTTTTTTTTTGGTACATGTCAGAGGCAAGCCGTGACTATCTAGGTATGGAAAGCATTTCTTAGTGATTGATTTGTGGCCATTCACAATATTGCCTAGGATCTGAGTATGTGTATACACTCAGCCTGTATCATGTTGAAAATTACTGTCAATAGAACAGACTAAAGTGATCTACATGTATTAAAGAAAACTATATATTTTCAAATTTCCTAATGTCAATAATATCCTTTTGATAATTCATTTTAATAAAAATAGTACAAGGTAGTTTGCAAATGATCAAGGAATGTTGTAAAGAAATTGACTTTTCTTCTTCAGTGTGCTTTATCTAGTAACTTTTTTTTTCCAGTTTACCAAGTACTGGACAGAATCAAATGGGGTGGAATCTAAATCATTAACTCCAGCCTTATGCAGAACACCTGCAAATAAATTAAAGAACAAAGAAAATGTATATACTCCTAAGTCTGCTGTAAAGAATGAAGAGTACTTTATGTTTCCTGAGCCAAAGACTCCAGTTAATAAGAACCAGCATAAGAGAGAAATACTCACTACGCCAAATCGTTACACTACACCCTCAAAAGGTATTTGCTAAGTGAATTAAGCAGTAAGAAGTTTCATTTTTCTTACCATGTTAAGTAAACATATAGCAGGTCAGAAATGACTAGCATTGCTTTCAGGAATTTCTAGGAGAAGTGAAGCTGTTTTTTATCATGTCATTTGCATTAGTTAAAATGAAAGCATATTTGTCAATTTCAATTTATTCTCAAATGATACCAAGTTTTTCCTCTTTTTCACGTTTATAAAATTGAATCATAGCATCCTAGGATATCAAAGCTGAAAGGCAAGTTAGAGCTCATTTAATCCAACTCCCTTTTTCACAGCTAAGAAACCTGAGACTCAGAAGGAGTGAAGTGATTTGCCCAAGGTCATATACCCAGGTTTAGACCTTTCATGCCCATTTACCCCGACTTATGACTCAAGCTGACGCCTCCGCTGAGCCTTTACTTATCTGGATCTCCAGTTGTGGTGTCTGGTCCTGTTCTGCCCTATGGTATTACTGCCTGTCCTCAGCAGGCAGGGTGAATCCATGATGCCCTTCCAGATATCTGTCTTTGTCCAGTTATCACAACTTCCTCATTTCCCTTGGTTTCCTCTTCAATTTAGTCATGAGCAGTTATTTAAACCATTTCCTTTATGATACTTCACTGTTTTGGTTGCTGGCCTCATCTGGACACATTCTATTTGATCAGACTGCCTCTTAGAATACAGTGCCTAGAACTAAACTGAGTTTTCTAGACTAGGTCTCACTAGGGTAGAGTGGTAAGTGTCATGACAGTAGAGACTCTCTGCCTTGTTTATTGCAGCATGGCATGGTCTGTAGTAGGGGCCATACCTGTCTGGTACATAGTACACAGTACTAGACCTGATGCCTAGTACATAATAGGGGCCATATTTATGTAATGAATTAATAAATTAGAGCCCAAAGGAATTTTATTTACAGTGATCCTGTTTATGTCACTTTAAAAAATGTTACCTAAACTTTATTAGCCTTTTTCCCCCCACCAATTGTGACCTTCTCAAGTTTCAAGATTCTAACAAACCTAAACTCTGGAGCATTGCCATGTGAACTGCTGGGAAACCACATCCTGCCATTGTGCTTCTAGTGTACTAATGGAGCTCATAGCCAGTTTGAGGGGTTAACTTCTTGTCTATAAAGATATTACGGAAGACTTTGCCAGAATATTTGCTAGAAGTCCCATTTTTATGTTAACGTCATTTTCCATTTCATCAACTCAAATAACACTTTCCGCCAAAATGTGAGGCCAGTTTGGTGTCCTGATGATGTCTGTGTTTGTGTGTGTGTGTGTGTGTGTGTGTGTGTGTGTGTGTGTGTGTGTGTGTGTGTGATGGTGTGTGTGTGGGGGGGTGCGGTGGCGCTGCCTGTGGTTGTTATGAGAATTCAGTGAGATAGCCTCTACCCTGCAATGGTAGCTGCTATTGCATTCTTTCCCAATGAAAGGGTCTCTTTCTGTTCTGTTGTTTCTCTTACTGTAAATACAGTACCCTTTGTGACTCATGAGATTGGGCAGGGAGATAAAACGGACCTCAGCTCACCTTAGCTCATTCAACGATCTTTTTTTTCCCCTTTTTTTCTTTTTTTTTTAATTTCTTTGAGTTGGAGTCTTGCTCTGTTGCCCAGGCTGGAGTGCAGTGGTGCGATCTCGGCTCACTGCAACCTCTGCCTCCTGGGTTCAAGCGATTCTCCTGCCTCAGCCTCCCTAGTAGCTGGGATTACAGGCGCCTGCTACCACGCTCAGCTAATTTTCGTATTTTTAGTGAAGACAGGGCTTCACCATATTGGTCAGGCTGGTCTCAAACTCCTGACCTCAGGTGATCTGCCCTCTTCAGCCTCCCAAATTTCTGGGATTATAGGCGTGGGCCATTGTGCCCGGCCCAGGGCTTTTTTATTTAAAAAAAATTTTAATGCCATAATCCCTTCCATTATTGACATTTTTTACTTTTTGTGTAACTCTGAAGGTTTTGCAATATGGGTAGTTTGGAATTTATTTTATAATCTTGAAATATTATCAGTTGACATATGTTGTCATGACGAGAAAGATTGTGTTGGTCAAAGCTATTATTGGTTGTTTCTTTTTAAACACGAGCCACTTAAGGAAGCAAGTGGCTGAAGCCATGATTGTTAGCTTCCACTGGCACTTTGCATTTTTCTTTCTTTTCTTTTTTCTCTTCTCTCCTCTTCTCTTCTCTTTTCTTCTTTTTTTTGAGACAGAGTTTCACTCTTGTTGCCCAGGCTGGAGTGCAGTGGCATGATCTTGCCTCACTGCAACCTTCGCCTCCCAGGTTCAAGAGATTCTCCTGCCTCAGCCTCCTGAGTAGCTGGGATTACAGGTGCGCACCACCATGCCCGGTTAATTTTTTGTATTTTTAGTAGAGATGGGGTTTCAACATGTTGGGCAGGCTGCTCTCGAAACTCTTGACCTCAGGTGATCCACCTGCCTCGGCCTCCCAAAGTGCTGGGATTACGGGGGTGAGCCCACCATGCCCAGACCTGCATTTTACTTTCATTGTGAGTTATTTTTGACATAAACATAAATTTCATTTTCGTCACTCCTACACAATGCAGGCATTGGCAGTTTGTTGAAGGGCAGTTCTGTATGGTGATAGATACTGTCTGTATACAAAGATGAAAACTGTTTTTATAAATATTTCTGATTGCTCTTATTTTCTTGTTCTTGTGGAAAGTGAGAATGTAGCCAAATAGTCATAAACAAAACCAAGCCCCTAATCTCTTTTAAAATTTTGATATTATATCTTTGTTTTTATAGTGTGAATATTATCTCTAAAGGGTATAAAACTTTTAGATCATGAGCTAATCAGTATAACCAGATTCGTTAGTACAAATTTGTCATAAACTATCTGGAATGCAAATACCCTACTTAGAATAAAACACAAAATTCTGGAACAGGGAATATAAAAAATAATCAAAGCTTACATCTCTTTTTTTTTCCGAGATGAAGTCTTGCTCTGTCTCCCAGGCTGGAGTGCAATGGCGCGATCTCGGCTCACTGCAACATCTGCCTACTGGGTTCAAGGGATTCTTCTGCCTCAGCCTCCCAAGTGGCTGGGATTACAGGCGTGCGCCACCACGCCCAGCTAATTTTTTTGTATCTTTAGTAGAGATGGCATTTGACCATGTTGGCCAGGCTGGTCTCGAACTCCTGACCTCATGATCCGCCCTCCTCGGCCTCCCAAGGTGCTGGGATTACAGGCATGAGCCACTGTGCCTGGCCAAAGCTTACATCTCTTTAATAACTTATGTCAAGCTTTCACAGGGGTCTGTTCTTTTTGCCTAACATGAGTTGAATCGGGCTATGAATTCAATTAACACCTTTTAATACTAGATCAATTAAAAGCATAAATTGGGCCCTTGTATAAATACAGATTGACTTTTATTTTTAGAAAAAGAATCAGTAATTATGAGATTTGTATTTATATGATCTGTTTAGATTTATCATATGATGTTTATAATAAAATTAAAAGCATGGCCTAAATTTGCAGTGAAGAAAAAAAAGAAGAGCCACACATACAAAGCAAAATGATTTTGTTTTTATTATAAATCACATGGAAACATTTCTTGAAAGAATTAGAGCCTTCGACATCACAGGTCAAGTGATTATACTGTTTCTGAGTCAATGAATAATGTGATACCTGCATTATTATTAATAATAGAAATTTCAGAACCATAGTATGTGCTGCATATGGATTGTGTTTGTTCTGTTTCTAATAGCTAGAAACCAGTGCCTGAAAGAAACTCCAATTAAAATACCAGTAAATTCAACAGGAACAGACAAGTTAATGACAGGTGTCATTAGCCCTGAGAGGCGGTAAGTGTTTGGTTTTTTTAGACTCTAATCTTTAGTATATGTAACCAGATTTCCTTTTTCATGTATTAATAGACCTGATTAAGGTAAATCATCACATAGATTCTGTTGGAGAGTAGGAATATCTGTTTATGTGTGGATGACCTGTGGCCATTCCTGGACCTGTAGCCACTGCCTTCCTCATGGGGTAGAATCATGAAACTGATCAGCAGTAGGACGGCACCTTAAGTACAACAGGCTGGGAAGACAGTGGTCCTCACCCCAGCCAACTAGTTACCTCTCTGAGGCCCATCTTACCCTTCTCTTCTGCCAGTAAAATACAGATATCCTCTAACAGATTGTAGTCCTCCCAAATCGTAAAGATACTGTTGTTTCAAAGAAAATCCTCTGTATGAAAAGTTCTGCAGCATAGGTAACTCTTCAAGTTGCTATTCTTTTATAGCAATTTCTTAAAGGCATTGTCTATTTTCAAGACAATTGGAGAATTAGAATGTGGACAGGGTATTAGATGATATTATGGAATTATTATTAATTTATTGATGAAGAAACTGAGGAGATCAGGAATAAAATGATTTATCAAAGCTATATAGTACAAAGCTGGAGCCAGAACCCAGGTCTTCTCATTCCTAATCTTATGGTTTTTCTCCCACAGTCTGGAAGTGCTGGAGAACTACCTAGAAAGCCAACTAACACCACAGTAGTTTCTATTGAAAAATGCATTCAGGTTCCAAAATATTTACATAACTGACCATTTTTAGAACATTATCCGTTAGTATTTGGTAACTGCTTAGCTTCTCAATAATGTGTATATATGTGGTTGAACTAGTTTCCTTAATTTTATTTAACATTTTTCAGTGCAATGGTACTATGGTTTTTTTAAATCTCAGTGTCAGTGCTTGAAATACTTAACTATCTCCAACCAGAAAAATTTCAGAACAAAAGGATAAAATATGCCTAATAAACAGCCATATGTAACGTAAACTTCTCAGCACACTTTATGGTGTTGTCTTTATGGAAGACAACATCCTTATTCATTGGAGATGTATACTGAAGTGTTTCAGAGTAAAGTGTCATGATATGTTCAGATGAGTTACTTTCAGATGGCTTAGCAAATAAGTAAATTTAATGTATTATCTACATACATTAAATTTATGTGTATATATAGATATATACATTGATGTATATATATCAGTGTATATCTATATACATATGTACATTAATATATTATCTATATCCAAATAGAAAGCAAATGTGGCAAAATATGAACAATTGTTGAATCTAGGAGGATATACCGGTGTTCATTGTACTCTTCTTTGAACTTTTCTATATATATGAAAAAAGGATATATATATCCTTTTTTAAAAAGGAAGGGGATAAATAGTTTTGCTGAGTGGCAGTTGCCTGGTAGAAGTGTGACAGCTCCTGTCCAGGGGGAGATGGCTTTGGTGCTTCCTGAGGAAGAGAGAGGTGATCTGGCCCTGGCATACCTGAGTGAGGCATCCTAATGTGTATGAAGGGACAAAAGTTCACCCTTGTGGACCCCACAGGCCGGAGGCCCAGCTCTACTTGTGCCTTGTTTTATGTTTTGTTTCAGGTGCCGCTCAGTGGAATTGGATCTCAACCAAGCACATATGGAGGAGACTCCAAAAAGAAAGGGAGCCAAAGTGTTTGGGAGCCTTGAAAGGGGGTTGGATAAGGTTATCACTGTGCTCACCAGGAGCAAAAGGAAGGGTTCTGCCAGAGACGGGCCCAGAAGACTAAAGGTAAGCAGGCTGGAATTCTTTCATATGGAGCAGAAGCTGACTGCTAATGGACTGCCTTTTTTTTTTAAGGTGCTGAATGAATTGATTAGTGTTTTTTATTTGAGTATTTATTCACTTAGTTAATATATGTTTTTTGAGCAACTAAAATCTGCATGTTACTGTGCAGTCAGTAAATAGATACAGTCACTCCCTTCAAGGAGCAAACAGCTATCATTCAAATATTCAAGAACAGGTGGAGGGATTAGTCACAGGGGCAACATGGAGGTGAGGAAGCAGGGGGCACAGATGGAGAGCTGAGAGCTGCCTTAAGGAGGGGGACTTGAGCTCAGTTGTGTCCCTGATTCATGGATACTTTGTAGGCCCTCATGAAATATTTGAATGCATGGGAAGATAATTGGAACTTTGAGTGTGGTGTGTGTCAGGAAAATAGTGAGTGACAAGCGGGGAAGGTAGGCCGGAAGGGCCTCAAGGCCTGGCTAAGAAGGTGTGGATCTTATTTAATAGACCCAGTATGCTTTAAAAGGGTTAATGTGTCACTGGTGTGGACAATATATTTAGTCAAGGAAGGAAAGGAAAAATAAGCTGTTAGTTGATATAAAGTACTTTTTATTCTCTTGGATTCTCTCTGAGCATTCATTCAAACATCTGATGAATACATGTTTGTTTGGTGGAAGGGGAGTAATTAAGAGGTAAAGGGACGAATGAGACAGCCCATTCCTTGAGGAACTCTTAGGCTGGCTGTGAAAACAGGCTGGGATGTTGTTCTGAAACACTGGGCTCAGTGCTATAGTAAAAACACATTCCAAGAGGTGTGGGCCCAAGCAGGGGAGAAGATGGTAGTGTGCCCATCATTTGGGGACTGGGTCTATGTTTAGTTTTTGCACTGAGACTCTCGTAATGAGCAAATCTGGGCGGTTTGAGGGAAGGAAAATGCTGAGCTTTTGGGCAGAAGGGTGTTTTAGAGGAGAATGTTCTGTGATCTCATTTCTGTTCTGTCTTAAAGTGGAAGAAGATAGGAGTTATCCACTAGCAGTCATTACCTTGAACTTTTGTAGTGTGCTGAGACGTTACATATGGCTGTGTATTAGGCATATTTTATCCTTTTGTTCTGAAATTTCTCTGGTTGGAGATAGTTAAGTATTTCAAGCACCGACACTGAGATTTAAAAAAACCATAGTACCATTGCACTGAAAAATGTTAAATAAAATTAAGGAAACTAGTTCAACCACATATATACACATTATTGAGAAGCTAAGCAGTTACCAAATACTAACGGATAATGTTCTAAAAATGGTCAGTTATGTAAATATTTTGGAACCTGAATGCATTTTTCAATAGAAACTACTGTGGTGTTAGTTGGCTTTCTAGGTAGTTCTCCAGTACTTCCAGAATGTAGGAGAAAAACCACAGGATTGGGAATGAGAAGACCTGGGTTCTGGCTCCAGCTTTGTGCTGTATAGCTTTGATAAATCATTTTATTCCTGATCTCCTCAGTGTCTTCATTTGTAAAATCTGGAAATAATGCCTACCCTGGCAACCTCACACGGCTGAGATGTAGAAACAAGACTCTACATATGGGATGCTACATGGCATATTAAATGCTTTATGAGTATAAGGTGACATGTTTCCAATGTCAAGGATTACTATCAGTGTTGAGCATTTTACCACCCATGTATAGACCCATGGTCCTAATTAGCACAGTCCTAAGATTGAAAACTTTAACTTTAGATCATTAACACTTTTTAATGCTTTTAAGTTTTTGCAAAACTGAAGGACTTTCTTTGGGAAATTAACCTTATTTTTTTTCACCTACTTCAAATACTGTACTAAAAACTATACACTTACCGGAAGAGTTGCAAGGATAGTAGAAATAATACCTTAGTTTTTTAAGATAGCAAATCATATGTAGTTATGTCCTCTTTTAGGAAGCAGTCTATAAAAAATCCAAAATTTAAGTAGATAAATTAGGATTCATTCTTTATTTTACCAAAGCAGTAATATATTGTGATTTGAAGGTGTTCAGTTTATTATTAATATCATCTTAACAGAGCCAATTTAGTTTGGTGAAAAGAGTGCTGGATCAGGAACCAAGAAAGAGAGGGTCCCTTCGTTAACACTCAGTTTCACGACATTTGCTCTATGGGTGTATTGGGTGCACTATTATTTATCTGGTATTTTCATTATGTTGACTCTCCTTTAACAAATGGATTTATAGAGATATAACTGACATATAATAAACTTGCACATATTTTATTTTATTTTATTTGTTGTTAATTTTTTGAGGCAGAGTCTTGCTCTGCTGCCCAGGCTGTGGTGCAATGGCATGATCATAGCTCACTGCAGCCTCAACCTTCTGGGCTCAAGTCATCCTCCTGCCTCAGCTTCCTGAGTAGCTGGGATGCGTGCTACCACACTTGGCTAATTCTTAATTTTTTTTGCAGAGACAGGGTCTCACTATGTTACCCAGGCTGGTCTTGAACTCCTGAGCCCAAGTAATCCTCCTGCCTTGGCTTCCCAAAGTGCTGGGATTACAGTCATGAGCCACTACACCCGGCCAACTGTGCATATTTTAAAGTACAATTAATATGCTTTGGCATTATATATAACATCTGTGAAACCATTGCCACAATCAAGATAATTTTTTAAAACTCAAATTTATTTAAAAGGAAACCTTTATATCATTAGGGTTTTTTTGTTGTTGTTGTTAATTATGTTTTCGAAATCAGTTGGGAACAAATACATATTTAAAAATATTTATCCATGTGCCACCCAGAATTACCTTGTCTATCTTGTATCACACTATGAGAAGCACTACCTTAAGAAATTTGTATCTCTTCTTTGGGCCATAGGTTCTTATTTTGAAAAGTAAGATAGTTGGATACTTTTCTTCCTAGGCATTTTGTTATTTATACAATGAACTCAAACCTGAAAGATATAGAAACTATGGTTTTGTTTGACAGTGAAGGTACTTACCAGGAAGGGAGGGATTTTTGTGTGTCCAGGACCCACTAAAACAGTGCCTACCACATAGTAAACATTCAAAAGTAGTTGTTGAATGAATGAAGGATAAATATCAATTAGGAATGAAATTATCTCTGAGAATTAGGCTCTCAGTCAATGAGAAAAAATAATATGACATCACTTTTTTAAAGGAATACCTGTTACATTTATTTCCTCATAGAACTGTCATAAAATCAGCTCCTGGAACTCTATAATATTCTTTAAATAATCCAGAAAGAGTTAAGGAAACATATCCAACTAGGTACAAAGCAAACTTTGTATGGTGTTTGTTTATCTTTCCGTGGTATACATTTCAGGACTGTTAATGTCTCTTAAAATAGTGTGGGAAGGGGAAAATAGGCAAAGCTCAAACAGTTAGATGGGTGCTCTTTAATATTTATTTCTTTAAAAGGATTGGTAGGAGAGGAAGATGAAAGTATGAAAAGGAAGCTATGGGTGTGTTTACTAATAACCATAACTTCTCCAAGCTCTCCCAGTGGGCCATTAACTCACTAAGAGTTGACTGTAAATTCCTTTGATATTTTTTAGGAAATAGTTCCATTTGAAACAGTACTATATTGAGGAGTTTTGGAACTCTTGATCTGGTGTGATGGTCTTTGTGTTGATGTAAAAATTTACTTCTCATCTCTTCTTTTTCTTTTCTTAGCTTCACTATAACGTGACTACAACTAGATTAGTGAATCCAGATCAACTGTTGAATGAAATAATGTCTATTCTTCCAAAGAAGCATGTTGACTTTGTACAAAAGGGGTAAGAAGCACATTTACAAGCTGTTGCATTTATTAGTATCTTTTGGACTTTGAGAAAATAGGAGTTGGTTGGGCGCGGTGGCTCACGCCTGTAATCCCAGCACTTTGGGAGGCTGAGGTGGGCAGATCACTTGAGGCCAAGAGTTCAAGTTCAGCCTGGCCAACATGGAGAAGCCCTGTCTCTACTGAAAATACAAACAATTAGCTGGGCATGGTGGCACATGCCTGTAGTTCCAGCTACGTGGGAGGCTGAGGCATGAGAATCACTTGAACCTGGGTGGAGGCTGCAATGAGCTGAGATCACACCACTGCACTCCAGCATAGGTAACAGAGCGAGACTCTGTCTCAAAAAAAAGAGAAAATAGAAGTTGATCTCCTCACCCCTGTGCTTTAGAAAAAATGTATTTCTCCCACCTCATTCCCAAAAGCTTTTGAGGTAGTGTTATTGCTTATAATTTATTCTCTTTTGTTTGGTTCAAGCTATAAAAGTTTTAGAAGCACAGATATTGTCCCACTTTATTTCAAAATAGGAAAATTCAAAATTCTTCTGGCTTTCTTGTAGATCCTCTATTTTCCTTTGATTGTCTGCTTTACAATAATATTTATAAATTATAATCTAAATTTGTGAGACATTTCAAATGAATCAGGGATTTATACAGAATCCTTCTCTTCATGACTGGCTGTTTTACAGGGCTGGGTTTTCAGTGCTTTAGGAAGTTTTTTCACCTTACCTCTCTCCCGCTGTTGAAGGAACTGCCATCAAAGCCTCCTTGGTTATGATCTCCTGGTCTCAATAGCCAGGCCTCTTCTGGTCACCCAAGATGGCCGTATTTCTAAGCATTTCCATTCAATTATTTCCCTTTAAAATTTCTTTATTAAAGCAACCAGAAGAGACATGCATGGATTTAAACATGTAAATAGAATAGTCAATATAGAGTAAGATTTGAAGAAACAATCTTGTGCAGATATAATTTTTAGTTTTTAGTTATCTGTAAATGTTGGCAAGCATTCCTTCTGTGAACCCTGGCATTCCTCTCAGGCTTCATTAGAACACATCTCTCCCACTCTGATCTCTTCTTCATGCTTGGGGCTATGAGCCTCTGGGCATACCTCTGTCACAGGTCTCTCAATGATCTATTATCTAACATGTGACTAAATTGTTCTATGCCTCATCTTCTTGTCAAGAATCTTAACTTCAGGGTGCTCCTTTTGGCATTTTTGATGTTGACTGCTTATTTTTGAGAGATCAAGCCTCTTTCCCAAAACACATGACTAAGTTAGTAAGAAAAAGAATATTTTGGTACATAACAGTATGAAACAGAAAAAAGTACATAACTGAAACAATGTAACTTCTCCACACATCTGTGGAACAGCACTTAATCAGGAACCCTTAAGTATTTAGGGAATTGAAACTTAAAATCAGTCCTATTTATTGAAGATTGGTAAGACAAACAAAACTCTAAAATAGAATGTAAACTAATTAAATATTATTACATGAATTAAATTTATACAGCTTTGCAGGATCATACGTATGTCTTAAGATGTGTTTCAGGCTTCATTTTGACTGGGCCTTTCCATTCTCAGAGTAGATAATGCGGCAGTTCTATCTATAAATGCCGTACGTTTCAGTTATGGGAATATACCATTTCCTTGGGCTTTTTCTTCTGCTTTTCTTTCTGCCATAAAGTGATGTGATGATCGTCATAAGAGGTTATCTCTCATTACTAATT